>NC_000006.12:17635757-17787272 GCF_000001405.40 Homo sapiens | reverse complement strand
CATAAAACTCAGAATTATCTCATAAAACTGTGACATTAAATGTCAAATTCAAATTTCGTTTTGATGAACACAAATGTGATCAATACCAGTATGTCAATACAAGGTACTTTAGGCACCAGGACCTAGGACATACAGCAGCTGAAGGGTCACTTCTGAAACCAAACCGCTTAGCAGGTCAGCACCTATCCACTGTTGGGCCATTGCCATGCACTCCGCTGGTTCAGGGTGGCCCCTACAACTCTATTCACTGCCACTCAGCTCCAAGGGTGCAGTTTGCTTATGCTAGCAGTGGCCACTTGGATTCTAGAGTAGAAATATGCACTTAAAATCCTTAGTCTGTCATCCAGACATCATGGTCCACTCACGGTGGTTGGTTCTGCAGCAAAGAACATACACATCATGCATGTTAATCCATTTCATGTAGAAGCTAGCAGAAAGTCTCCCTCAGGAAAACACCTTGGCTCAACATGTGATGTCGCCTTGTGTGTGTGCTCAGGCTGCTAATGAAAACTCACTTAGACTGTACCCAGGGAGCCCCAGAGTTGAATTATGAATAAGAGGATTTCAAAGTATATCAGATAAAATCCCTTTCATGATAAGCCTCGAGGAAAATAAAGGTGATTTTACAGAGTAAGATATATGGTGGGTTTTTTATTTTTTTATTTTTATTTTTGAGATGGAGTCTCCCTCTGTCGCCCAGGCTGGAGTGCAGTGGCATGATCTTGGCCCACTGCAACCTCCTCCTCCCAGGTTCAAGCAATTCTCCTGCCTCAGTCTCCTGAGTAGCTGGGACTACAAGGCGCCCACCACCACGCCTGGCTAATTTTTGTATTTTTAGTGGAGACAGGGTTTTACCATATTGGTCAGGCTGGTTTTGAACTCCTGACCTCAGGAGATCTGCCCACCTCGGCCTCCAAAAGTGCTGGGGTTACAGCCGTGAGCCACCGTGCCCGGCCTATGGTGTTTTTTAATCCTGTCTTTGTAACATCATGTATAGTTCTATAAAGCAGTGTCACATCCGTATTTCATTTGATCCTTCCAGCAAGTACATGAAGTAGATACGACTTCTTTTATCCCTGTTTGACAGGTTAAGGAGACTCATCTGTTGGATAACTTCCCCAAATTACAGAACCAGTAAAATAACCTCAGTCTCATAATTGCTGTTCCAATGCTCTTTCTGCTATTTCTGGCTTGCAGTTCCTTAAATTGGTGTTGAAGCCCCTCTTAGCTCCCTATGCATGCTCTTGCTTGAACTTCAAAGACTCAAATCCATTTTAGGGACATAGTGGATGGTTAAACCACTTATAGATAGCACTGAGTGAAATCTGTTTATTGTTTTTGTTTGCTTGTTTTTTGAGACAGGGTCTCTTGTCTGTTGCCCAGGCTTTAGTACAGTAATGTGATGATAGCTCACTGTAGCCTTGAACTCCCAGGCTCAAGTGATCTTCCCACCTCAGCTGCCTGAGTATCTGGGACTACAGGCATGCGTACCACCACCCTGCCCAACTATTTTTTTTTTTTTGGTAGAGATGGGGTCTCACTATGTTGCCCAGGCTGAAATCTATTCCTTGTAAACTGAGAAGTCATACTTTCTCTCTTGTTGGCATTGATCTCCTCATTTTTTTCTGCAGAGAAAACAGAGGACGATGTGGAGCGGGAAGCCCAGCTTGTGGAGCAGTGGGTAGGGCTGACTGAGGAAAGGAATGCTGTGCTGGTGCCAGCCCCAGGCAGTGGGATTCCTGGGGCACCTGCCGACTGGTAAGGCTGCCCTCCCTTCTGTGCAGACCTGGGGAGATGGTACAGGTCGCCTGTGGCAAGAGCCATGCAAGAGACTTTCCAGGATTGTCACAGAAAATGCCAACCAGCTGAACTACTTAGGGAATGTCCACTCATCTCTAATGCTTCCATCCCTTTTTTTCCTTCCCCACCGAAGCCAACTTTCTCCCACAGGAAGCGAGAGAGCATTGATTACCTGGCCAGGAATCACATACCACTCCTCTGTTCCTCTGCATAAGCAACTTGGACATTGTTCCCTGATGCCCAGAAACTCTTTTATCTTGGCTGGAAAGTATTTGAATAGGACAGAAAATATATTAGTGGAGCTATTTTTTTGGTAGTATTGTGAGAATTAGAGATAATGTATATAAAATACCTTATATATGATAATACTATCTTGTATATTGTAATGTGTATAAAACACCTTTCATACCCATTCATTAAATCCTAGCTGCTGCTGCTTATTCTCATTCTCATTTTTATTATAACATATCCAGGGCATTTAAGAGAAATCAGATTCCTTTTGAACACAGAATGTACATGCCCAGATAGTCTTTTTTGAACTGGCATAGAAACATTAGTGATAATACCTGCATCTCTAATGATAAAGGGAAAAGTAATCAGTTTCGTGGTCTGTTTTCTGAAACTAGAGACTCTGAATCTGCAGGCACATAATTCATAACCTGATGTTTCTCCCTGCAGTTCCTGCTGTTGTGCTGGAATCCTGTAGGTCTCTTGCGGTAATTCTGCCAGCCACTTCTTACAGACAGCCTACTCACCCCAATCTTGTTCTGGCCCTCAAAGCCCTCTCTAGACAGTTTGTCTCCTTACTTCAGTCTCTCTCGTGTAAAGTGTTTTCAAACTTCAGATCATCTTGAGTGTTTGTAACATGTAGGCCTGGGTGTCATCCCTAGTTATGTTGATTCAGAAGAGAAAGGAAGGACCCACGACTCTTCTTTTTTTATTTTTTTAAATAAGAATTTGCATTTCTAAAGGGACTCTTCACTTTAAGAGGCCTCTGAGGCGGTTCTGATGCAGCTGGGCAAGTTGGGTTTTTTTGTTTGTTTTTTGTTTTTTTGAGACAGGGTCTCATTCTGTTTCCCAGGCTGGAGTACCAGTGGCACGATCTTGGTGCACTGCAACCTCGATCTCCCAGGTTCAAGCCATCCTCCCACCTCCCAAGTAGCTGGGACCACAGGCCTGTGCCACCACACCCAGCTAGTGTTTTTTTGTTTTTTTTTATAAGACAAGATCTCCCTGTGTTGCCCAGGCTGGTCTTGAACTCCAGTCCTCAAACCATCTTCCTGCCTTTGCCTCCCAAAGTGCTGGGATTACAGGCATGAGCCACCATGCCCATCCCTGGGCCAGTTTTTGATAAAACACTGCTTGGTCTCTTCTGTACACAACCCTCCCTCCTTTCACACATCTTTCATTCTGTCCTTTGAGCTTTGAGCTTTTGTTTACTTCCTCTAGGCTCTGATCCTGTCCCGTTACCACCCTAACAACATCCCCCCTTCCCTTTACCTCTCATGGGAATTATTTTTAGAAAGGCTTAAAATCATCTTTGTTTCAATTAATTACATGTAACTCATATAACTGGAAGTTCTTTTATGTAAGTCATATAATTCCCATGATTTATGTCTACAGGGAAGTCAAGAAATATGAAAGTATTTCATTAGTGGAAACTGCATCTCCACCATGGTTCTCTTTGCTTCCACAGCTCTGTGGTGTTTTATCAGCTAACAAGATGTAAAATACATATTTTGTTATGATTAAATGTTGTTATTAAATTTAGGATCCCACCTCCTGGAATGGAAACCCACATACCAGTTCTCTTCCTCGATTTGAATGGTAAGTAGACACTTAAAGTCACAGGGATTATTGTATTTAACTAAGGTTTGTAATCTATCCAGATTCACATTATTTTGATCCTTAAATCACTCTTCTAATCATTCATGTGCCAAATTGGGTGACATTTTTGTTCTCATTAAACGTATATAAGCATGATATGTGGATAATCAAAAAAAGAGCACATAGGGTGATTGAGAACTGCATGCACGAGCATTAGCACAGTTGCTCTGAAACAGTGGACATAGAAATTACCCTGGAAAGTAATCACCCCTAGAGATTCTGAGTCTTTAGGCTTGGCAAGGGCCTATGAATCTGCATCTCTGACTAGTGCCCTTAACTCTCCTCAAATAGTTTTGATGGCAGAAGTGATCACACTATAACCCTGCCTTAGGGGTTGTCCTTCATATTGCAATTAGATGGAACCTGGGCAAGTCTAGAACAATGGTTTCCAATGTGCTTTAGCAGAACAATCCTTTTCTAAACGAAATATTAACTGGAACCCCATGTGTAGAAAACAACGGCAGAGTTGCTGAGTTTGCAGTGGGCAGGATCCTGGTAGATCCTTTGGCAGGGCCCTAGGGCTCCTCAAAACACAGCCTGAAAACCTCTGTTCTAGAAGGAAGCCCAAAATAATGGATGGAAGACACAGGGAGGGTGGCTTTGGCTCTTCATGTGAAGAATTTCTTTTTTAAAGCCTAGATGTTGAATGTATGCCTCATAAGATAGTGAGTTCCCTGTCATAGGAGGTATATAAACAAAGACTAGTTGGCCATTTACAGAGATTTGTGAGGGGCGAACCCCATATTGGATAGGATGTTGGAAGAAGATAATCTTCATATTTCTCCCAAGTGCTCAGAACTTTGATTCTAAATTGATTTCATTGCTAAAATCTCTAATTTATAGTAAGTTATTAAGTAGGACAACAAACCTAACAGTTTACAGGAGGAATTGACCTCAGAAAGCAGCAAAATTCTAAGATTTGTTTTGTTTTGTTTTGTTTTGTTTTGTTTTGAGACAGAGTCTCACTCTGTCACCCAGGCTGGAGTACAGTGGCATGATCTCAGCTCACTGCAACCTCCGCCTCCCGGGTTCAAGCAGTTTTCTACCTCAGCCTCCCAAGTAGCTGGGATTACAGGCACCCACGACCATGCCTGGCCAATTTTTGTATTTTTAATAGAGACGGGGTTTCACCATCTTGGCCAGGCTTGTCTTGCACTCCTGACCTCGTGATCCACCCAGCTCGGCCTCCCAAAGTTCTGGGATTACAGGCGTGAGCCACTGCGCTCAGCCTCCGAGGTGTGTTTAATGAATATATTTGTACCTAGGACAACAAAGAATATATTCATTCCATCTTATAGGAGACTCACAAGGCAACTTTTTGGCTCCTGTTGTATTTTTAAAGAATAAAAGCAGCCGGGTATGTTGGCTCATGCCTGTAATCCCAGCACTTTGGGAGGCTGAGGCGGGTGGATCATGAGGTCAAGAGATTGAGACCATCCTGGCCAACGCGGTGAAACCCCGTCTGTACTAAAAATACAAAAATTACCTGGGCATGGTGGTGCACACCTGTAGTCCCAGCTGCTCGGGAGGTTGAGGCAGGAAAACCGCTTGAACTTGGGAGGCAGAGGTTGCAGTGAGCCAAGATCACACCACTGCACTCCAGCCTGGGCTACAGAGCGGGACTCCATCTCAATAAAAACAAAAAAAGAATAAAAGCTGTGGGGCACGATGAGCTTATGCCTGTAATCCCAGGGCTTTTGGAGGACCATGCAGGAGGACTGCTTGAGTTCAGGAGTTGGAGACCAGCCTGGGCAACAAAGATGGACTCCATCCCTACAAAAAATTTTACAAATTAGCCAGGCATAGTGGTGTGTACCTGTAGTACTAGCTACTCAGGAGGCTGAGGTGGGAGGATCTCTTGAGCCCAGAAGTTCAAGGCTGCAGTGAGCTATGATCAGGCCGTGCACTCAAGCATCAGCAACAGAGCAAGACCTTGTCTCAAAAAAAAAAAAAAAAAAAAAACCCAAGTACAGTGGCTCACCCCTGTAATCCCAGCACATTGGGAAGTCAAGGCAGGAAGATTCATTGAGCCTAGGAGTTCAAGACCAGACTGGACAACATAGTAAGACCTCATCTCTATTAAACATAATGATTTTTTAAAAAAGAAAAAAAGCTGTTGTGAGTCTTGGAGTCTCTATTTCAACTGCAGAATAAGGAATGAAAGAAAAAAGAAAAATGTGTTATGTGTAAACTTCAACTGTAAAAAGCATATATTTAAATTTTTGGTGTTTGCTTAAAAACTGACTTTCCCCTACTGTTTTTTCTGTGCTCCTGATGTGGTTAGCGGATGACCTCAGTGCCAATGAGCAGCTTGTTGGCCCCCATGCATCCGGCGTGAACTCCATCCTGCCCAAGGAGCATGGCAGCCAGTTTTTCTACCTGCCCATCATAAAGCACAGTGATGATGAGGTAATTAACCCCCAAGTTTCTCTTAAAAGGCTTCAGATTAGCACACAAGGCTTGTGGGCCTGCTCACTAAACTGCTATGGTTTGCTTTGGGGAAAAAGACCGGGGACTTTAAAAAATAGAACATTTGTGTTGCTGTTTAAAAAAGGTGAGGAAAGAAATCTATTTGATTACAGTGAGTTGAATTTATTTTCTTTCTCTTGTATGTCCTGTAAAACTGCTACATCTGACTTTTGTCTTGTTTCCATCTCCTCATCATTCCCCAACTCCTAGGTTTCAGCCACAGCCTCTTGGGATTCCTCGGTGCATGATTCTGTTCACTTGAATAGGGTCACACCACAGAATGAAAGGATTTACCTAATTGTGAAAACCACAGTTCAACTCAGCCACCCTGCTGCTATGGAGTTAGTATTACGAAAACGAATTGCAGCCAATATTTACAACAAACAGGTAATAACGGGGCCTGATTGTGCCATTCTGGCTCTGAGCTCAAAAGATTTTTCCCTCTCTCTATCACAAAGCAGTGTTTTTTGGTGCTGTGATGTGCAAAACATGACCATCCTGGCCAAGTTATAGTCTGATTCTCATTTATCCAAGGTAGTGGGCATTAGGATAGCAGAGGTCAATGTCATCCAGTAAGGGCAGTTTCACCTTGACTGATTGGAGAGGTGTAATCCTACCAGGCAGTGGAGCTGTGATATTTCACTGTTTGAAAAGTAGAAAAACTGAGGCTGAGAGATTAAGTGCCAGGTCCAAGCAAGTGAGTGACAAAACCAGGACAAAAGGCAGACTCCAAACAAATCCCTATCCTACTGCTTTGACGGATCCCATCTCAGAGGTGCTGTCAGTGAAACTGATCCTCTCCAGTGTTGTTCTAGCCATCTCAGGAAAGACTGATTAAGCCCTGGAGAGATCACAGGAAGGCAGCAGATGGGAGAGAGAAGCAACCACAGAAATCCTGAACATGCTGCAGATTCTGTAGTCAAATTCCCAACTAACAGCTGGACGTTAGTATCCCTTGGGGTTGGAGACAGGGATTCTTAGCTTCAGTTTTTTCTGTTATGCTGAGTATTCTGCATTTCAAAAACATAGTAACTTGTAATGCTTCTACAATTTGTAAAATACAAAATAACTGGCTGGGCGCGGTGGCTCACGCCTGTAGTCCCAGCACTTTGAGAGGCCAAGGCGGGCGGATCACGAGGTCAGGAGATCGAGACCATCCTGGCTAACACGGTGAAACCCCGTCTCTACTAAAAATACAAAAAAAAAAAGTTAGCCAGGTGAGGTGGCAGGCGCCTGTAGTCCCAGCTACTCGGGAGGCTGAGGCAAGAGAATGGTGTGAACCCCAGGGGGCGGAGCCTGCAGTGAGCCGAGATCGCGCCACTGCCCTCCAGCCTGGGCGACAGCGAGACTCCATCTCAAAAAAAAAAAAAAAAATACAAAATAACTTACATTTGTCACATAGCTTAATACAGCTTTTTTTTTTTTCTACTAGAGTTTCACGCAGAGTTTGAAGAGGAGAATATCCCTGAAAAATATATTTTATTCCTGTGGTGTAACCTATGAAATAGTATCCAATATACCAAAGGTAAAATATATGCTACTTTAGGCCGGGCGCAGTGGCTCATGCCTGTAATCCCAGCACTTTGAGAGGCCGAGGCGGGTGGATCACCTGAGGTCGGGAGTTCGAGACCAGCCTGACCAACATGGAGAAACCCTATCTCTACTAAACATACAAAATTAGCTGGGCATGGTGGCGCATGCCTGTAATCCCAGCTACTCAGGAAGGCTGAGGCAGGAGAATCGCTTGAACCTGGGAGGCAGAGGTTGCAGTGAGCCGAGATCGCGCCATTGCACTCCAGCCTGGGCAACAAGAGCGAAACTCTGTCTCAAAAAAAAAAAAAAAAAAAAAAAAAAAAAAATATATATATATATATATATATGCTACTTTAAAAAATATCAGTATCTAAATAATGGAGAATGTGTTCATTCTCCAGACTTCTAAAACGTTTTCTCACCACACTTTGGATGAAAACGTTGTTCACATCAAAGTATTGTCACTTCCTTCCTGTCCTCGTAGGCAACTGAGGAGATAGAGGACCGGGAAACGCTGGCTCTCCTGGCAGCAAGGAGTGAAAACGAAGGCACATCAGATGGGGAGACGTACATTGAGAAGTACACTCGAGGCGTGCTGCAGGTGGAAAACATTCTGAGTCTTGAACGGCTCCGGCAGGCAAGTAACTGAATATCTGGACCGAGGATGAAAGCACCAGCCTTCACCCCCAATGGACAGATATGAATTTACTTACCAAACACCTCACTAAATCTATCAGAGAAGGAGCACTTGAGCCATCTCTATTGAAAGGACTCTGGCAAAATAGTAACCAAAATAAAAATAATGACTAACTTTTATTGAATAACCCCTACTTGCCAAGCACTGAGCCTGAGTAATTTAGGTATATTATTTCATTTAATCTTCAAGATAACCCCCTGAGGTAAGTACTGTTGAAATCCCCATTTTCAAATGAGAAAATTGAGGCTGATAGAAGTTAGCTAACTCACCCATGGTTACACAGCTAGGAAGTGGTACAAAGTCGGATGTAAAGCCAAGTAGCTTGACTCCAAAGCACATATGCTTAAACACAGACTTACTATCTCCCTAATTTTTAGACCTGAGTTAACTTTTGAGGTGACAACAGGTCATTCAAGTGAAAATAATCCACTAAGTAATGCAACTATAAGATAAGATATGTCATTTCATAGGAGCAATAGTTGACATTATTGGGGGAGGTGTTGATTAATAGGAGGAATGTAATTGGCATCTGTCAGAAAAATCTTCCCTTAGTGGAAATCCCACCTGAATTGCTGCATGAGTAAAATACAAACAGCATCACACTTCATTGTCATTTTGCAAATGAGATACATAGTTAGAAGTACCTCTTCTACATTTTCTCTGTCCACCTGTATAAAAATTTCACAACATAAATGTCTTCCATTCTGCTGTTTTCCTGGTTTTATTTATTTATTTGTTTATTTATTTTTGAGACAGAGTCTTGCTCTGTCGCTCAGGCTGGAGTGCAGTGGCACAATCTCAGCTCACTGCAACCTCTGCCTCCTGGGTTCAAGCAATTGTAGTGCCTCAGCCTCCCAGATAGCTGGAACCACAGGCACCCACCACCATGCCCAGCTAATTTTTGTATTTTTTAGTAGAAACAGGGTTTTACCATGTTGGCCAGCTGGTCTCGAACTCCTGTCTGTGATCCACCTGCCTCAGCCTCCCAGAGTGCTGGGATTATAGACATGAACCACCACACCCTGCAGTTTTATTTATCTTAAAAAAAATATTTTTGATAAATTGCTAAACAAATAATAATAAGTGGGTAAAATAATATTTCAGTTTTATAAATGTGTATGTATGTAGAACTGATGCAGTCTATATTTAAATCTATAAATAAACATATGTTACTTTTATAATTAGAATAAAAAATAAAGTAATGGCCGGGTGCGGTGGCTCACGCCTGTAATCCTAACACTTTGGGAGGCCGACGTGGGCAGATTGCCTGAGCTCAGGAGTTCAAGACCAACCTGGGCAACATGGTGAAACCCCGTCTCTACTAAAATACAAAAAAAAATTAGCCGAGTGTGGTGGCGTGCACCTGTAGTCCCAGCTACTCAGGAGACTGAGGCAGAATTGCTTGAACCCAGGAGGCAGAGGTTGCAGTGAGCAGAGATCGCATCACTACACTCCAGCCTGGGCAACAGAGTGAGACTCTGTCTCTGGGGAAAAAAAAAAAAAGTGTTATTTTCAAATTATTATGTTTACAGGCCGTCACAGTCAAAGAAGCACTTTCCACCAAAGCCCGGCACATTCGGAGGAGCCTCAGTACACCAAATGTTCATAATGTAAGTGCATCCTGCCAAGGATCTGCTCCTATGTGACATGTCGCAGCCTCTGGGGTGGGGGAAGGTGGGATTCACACAGTGGCAGTAGAGCTTATGGAACTGGTGTGGGCATCCCAAAGTGTAGCCTGCTTCTCTGTACCAGGGACACACACCAGGCAGCACAGTTGTCTAAGACTGAGCCATTTGTTCAATCTTATGAATTCCTGTTCAGCAAGTTATCTCCTTGAAAGAAGTTCCTTAAGATATAAATTGAGTTTAGTTGGTTACAGATGGTGGAGTCAGCTATGAATACTTGCACCCGAGTCCCTGGACGCTGGCTGCTCCAGGGTCAGTTTTTGTGCCCATTCTAGCTGCCCTGGTGGCTCTGAGTCTGCCACCATCAGTGTGATAAGGAGTCAGCCACTGCATGTAGGCACTCTTGGAGTCCCTAGTTGTTCCTTTGACCATTTTCGTTATTTTTCTCAACCAGTTAATCTAGAAAATCCAATTGACAGAAACTGATCCTAGCAGGGGGGACACTGTCACAGAGGGATAGGACAGATTAGTGCATGGAGCACTTCTAAGCAGCCACTTCCCAGAAGCAGCTGAGTAGAAGTAAGGTCTTTCCAAGGAAAAACACAGGCTTATTTGCCTTCCTGTTCTCTAGAATTGCCAGAAAATTATTTAAAACATGGTGGCCACTTACAAAAATTGTCCTACAGTGGGCTACAGAGCAAATCCCAGTAATTATTATCACACAGATTACTTCTTCTGACCACAATGCATTTATTAGAAATAGATAAGAGAGACTCATATAGTTGTAAATTGAAAAACGCTTTTCATGAACTCATTTCTCAAAGAAGAAATTATGATGGAAATTAGGATGTATTTAGAACTAAATGAGAATAAAAATGATACATAGATCAGTGTTTGTGCAATGCAGCTAAAGTGGTACCTAGAAATTATTAGCCCTAAATTCCCTATAATTCTGTATAAAGCAGAATACTAGACAGTAGAAAAAATGAGAGAGTGAGGGCTACTATTAGGAAATATATAGCTCTTATATTAAAAAGTAGAGTAAAAAAGAATTAGGTAAACATCTAGCTTAAAAAGTAAAGAAGATCGGGCACGGTGGCTCACGCTTATAATCCCAGCACTTTGGGAGGCTGAGGTGGGCAGATCACCTGAGGTTGGGAGTTCAAGACCAGCCTGACCAACATGGAGAAACCCGGTCTCTACTAAAAATACAAAATTAGCTGGGCATCGTGGCAGGTGCCTGTAATCCCAGCTACTCGGGTGGCTGAGGCAGGAGAATCGCTTGAACCCAGGAGGAGATTGCGGTGCGCCGAGATTGCGCCATTGCACTCCAGCCTGGGCAACAAGAGTGAAACTCTGTCTCAAAAAAAAAGTGAAGAAAAACTGCTTATGAAGTAATCTAAAAAAAAAAATATTTTTTTCAACCTCAATCTGATCAAGTAAAGTCTTTTGGAAGCCAAGGCGAGAGGATTGCTTGAGGCCAGGAATTTGAGACCAGCCTGGGCAACATAGCGAGACCTCATAACTTGATGTTATGCCAACAAATGTAAAAGCTTAAATAAAATGGAAATGTCCTGTAAAAACTGAATCAAGAAGAAATAGAAAACCTGAATACAGCTATCACCAAAAAGAAGGACTATACTAAAATAATGACTATTACTATGCTCGTTGATGAGAATTCACAGTATCAAAAAATTGGCATGTCCTTAAGCTAATCATTCTCAACAGAATTTTTTGTAAGATTTGATAAGCTGATTCTAAAACCTGTATGGAAAAGCAGTCAAAATATACTCCTGTACAACCCAGAGATTACATCCCTTAGATATATACTCTAGAGATTCTCATAAATATACAGGTTGTATTTAGAATTAAATGATACTAAAAATAGTACACATATCAATACTTGACTAGACTATTGAATAAGACCATATATAGTAAGATACCACTTATGTGAAGCATAAAATATGCAAAATAATGTTAACTATTGGTTATGAGTATATACACATACAATTATATAAAACTTATATGGGAATGATAAACCCCAAATTGAGAGTAGTCACTACTCCTGGAGAGGGAAGAAAGAGGAGGAGAAGAATGAAGACTGCAGGCTTCAACTGTGACATTCTGTTTCTTTATATAAAAAAAACCCCTTATATTAAATATATAAACCACATTGCTAAAACCATTCTTCTCTTATAGGTCTCTTCCAGCCGACCGGACCTTTCTGGCTTTGATGAAGATGACAAGGTATGCACCTATGGGCATGGCTAGGTTTTTAGTAGAATCTTAGTCTGGAAAGTTGTGGGATCTTGGTGTTTTTAAAATCTCTGGGCCTCACCTGGTTGATCCTGTCAGTTTAAAAAAAAAGAAAAAGAAAAATCTCTGGGCTTCCCATCTTAATTGTAAGCAAATAACTCTCTCCACAACTCCATTTCCAGGTTCAAATACTTGATGTGATATTGCTTTGCACTTCTTTTTTTTTTTTTTTGAGACAGAGTTTCACTCTTGTTACCCAGGCTGGAGTGCAGTGGCATGATTTTGGCTCACTGCAACCTCCACCTCCCAGGTTCAAGCGATTCTCCTGCCTCAGCCTCCCGAGTAGCTGGGATTATAGTCATTTGCCACCACACCTGGCTAATTTTGTATTTTTAGTAGAGATGGAGTTTCGCCATGTTGGCCAGGATGGTCTCGAACTTCTGACCTCAGGTGATCGATCCGCCTCGGCCTCCCAAAGTGTTTGGATTACAGGCATGAGCCACCATGCCCAGACAATTGCTATGCACTTTCAGTATTACATTGTTACTTACCATGATAGGTTCCATACCAGGACAGTACCACACATAATTGAATAGATATCTGTGTGTTTATGGGTTTAACTCTAAATGATTGGAGAAGGTGTTACATCCACCATAGCATAATCAAAATTATTTCAATGGGTAAAAGAGGGGATTTAAAATTAAGGACAGATTGCAACATGATCTTATTCAACAAATATTTCTTGAATACATATTATATATGAGTTACTATGCTAGAGACTAGATGATCCAAAAGGTATAAGCACAGATTTATGTCCTTAAGAAGTTTAAAATTTAGTCTTCAGAGGCAATCAACTCCTGATAAGTTGACATAAGATTAAGTAAGCTCGTATGATATGCCAGCGTTTTCTCTGTTTTGTATACCAATACTTTATGCCTCTTTGAAACTTTTAAATCTCAAATATAGGTAGAGTAACCACACTGCCAAATTTGCCTTGGACAGTCTCAGCTGTGCCTTCTACCCAGGCAGAATTACTAATGGAACAGTTGTCCTTTGAGAGTGTTTCAGTTTGGTCATTAAATTATCAAGTCACTCTGGGTATATGCCACATTGCTCAAAGTAGCTACCTCTGGGGAGGAAGGAAGATGAATGGGACCAAAAGATCACACTACATTTGTAATAATTTTATTAAACTTGAGCAAATATAATAAAATATTAACATGTATTCACTCCGGGTATACCTTGGATATGACAGTATTTTTTACGATATTCAGCCCTTTCTGTATATTTGAAATAAATCATAATAAAAATAAAGAAGAGCATATGCTGCCATTAAAAAAAAACAGAAGAAACTCCAACCTGGGCTTTATTTCTTATTTTGGAGTGATTCAATTACAGTTAACCCATATTTTTACCTTGTAGGGTTGGCCAGAGAACCAGTTGGACATGTCTGACTATAGCTCCAGTTACCAAGATGTAGCATGTTATGGAACTTTACCCAGGGATTCTCCTCGAAGGAATAAAGAAGGTAGTGGTGAGATTATTTTGCAGTGATATTTCTTTGTAATTACTTAGAAAAAGTATGAAAAAATGTCTTTCATTAATGGCATATAATAAGATATGAAGCTGATATTCTAGTTAACTAGATGATACAAAACTGTTATTGAATGTAACATATAACATTCACTTATTTGATTTATTTTTGTTTTGTATCCAACATATCACCCAAATAATCATAGACTTTTTGTGTATTACTTTAGAACTTCTGAATCATTTTTTGTCATCATTTCCTGACTTTCAAGTCCAGTTTTGAGACACATACAAATCCTATTATTTTCTACCAGAATATCCAGCTCTGTCATATTTGTGTACTCAAAGGAATTTTTAAAAGAACATGACTTTGATTCATAAAGCAGTTTTCAAAAACGATACCCAAAATGAGTTTGATTCATGGTGACATTATTACCTAAATTATACAGTCTACCAGTGCCTTAATGGGAACAGTATTCTTTGGCCATATATATCGGTTCTGTTACCTTATACCTTATATTAGTAGGTAAAATATAAGGTATATTCGCCATTATACTAACAAATTGGAAAGGGAGGAAAGAGGCCAAAAAGGTAAGAAATGATACAAGCAAGGAAGAAGAATTGTCCTCCCTTAGTCATATATAGCAGGGTGGCCTGAGGGGGAAAAAAAGAGGCTCGCAAGAAAATTTACACAGTATTAATTCATTGAATATTTATTGAGCCTCTACTTTCTGTCTTATAACTATGGAAATAAGATACACAGAAAATGAGATGTTAAATGATAAGGTGCCAAAATGAACATGCAGATAATAAGGGCTGTGAGAATTCAGAGGAATGGAAAATCAGCGTGAGCTGAAATTGGTCTGGTTAGTGGTGCTTAAGCTGGATCTTGAAAAGAGTGTAGAAATTTGCTATCTCACTTTGTTCACACAGACTAGCACTGTAGTAACTCTTTGTGACATCACAGATTTATGTCTATTCTTGCCTACATCTGTTCCATGGTTTTTTGGGGGTTTTTTTGTTTGTTGTTTGTTGTTTGTGGGGTTTTTTTGTTTTGTTTTTAGACAGGGTCTCCCTCTCTCTCTCTTGCCCGGGCTGGAGTGCAGTGGCACCATTATAACTCACTGCAGCCTCAACCCCTGGGGCTCAAGCGATCTTCTCGCCTCAGCCTCCTGAGTAGCAAGTACAACAAGTAGACACCACCATGCCTGGCTATCTGTTTATTTTTTTTTTCACAGACTGGTGTCCCTATGTTGCACAGGGTGGGCATACATCTGTTTTAATGCTTAGCCAAATATTAGCCTATGAATTTCATTGTTCTCCCAGATATTCCCATGGCTGGGTCATTGTCTCAGTTCCTATGTTTTGCTTAAAGTGTTCAGCATCTGTAACCTCATAACTTCTCATCTTCCCTAGGTTGTACATCAGAGACTCCTCATGCCTTAACCGTCAGCCCTTTTAAAGCATTCTCTCCTCAGCCACCAAAGTTTTTCAAGCCCCTAATGCCTGTAAAAGAGGAGCATAAGAAAAGGATAGCCCTGGAAGCAAGGCCTCTTCTAAGCCAGGAGGTAAATGCTTGACTTGTCTGTACTATGCAGAATAGAGCAGAGTTGTGTCACCTGTGAAGCAGCAGTGTGCATTAACAAGCTGAGTGCTGCATGTGGACATGCACGGTCATCACTCCATGGTTCCCGTTCTCGAATTCCTCTTTCTCAAGCATGCAGAGTCATGGTAGAATCTCTTGTTTGTTGTTGCTGCTGTGGTTTTATTTCTTTGTGTTTATGGCTTTTCAAAGTATTTTTTTATGTTTCAAGTGAGAAAGATGTTTTCTAGGTGTTTTGAAAAGATTAAAGGCCTTTTTTAAAATTATTTTTCTTTTTTGTCTTTTTGGGGATTTCTGATTTTGTTTTTTATAGAGATAGGGTCTTGCTGTGTTGCCCAGGCTGGTCTGAAACTCCTGGCCTCAAGTGATTCTTTTGCCCCAGCCTCCCAAGGCACTGGGATTGCAGGCATGAGCCGTTGTACCTGGTCAAAAGGCTGTTTTTTAAATAAGACTAATTATGCTTTTTGCCACAGAATCTGTTTATTCCTGTCATATCTCTCCAGTAGTTTAACTCTGGCCTGCAGAATTGGCTGCTGCATTACTCACATGTAATAAGAGTGTTAGCATTGCTTTTCTAACTTGCATGTACTTAATATGTATTTTGGCCGTTGTCGTCTTTGTGTGTGATGCATCTGTGTGTCTTAACCTTTGCAGAGCATGCCTCCACCTCAGGCACATAACCCTGGCTGCATTGTACCCTCAGGAAGCAATGGCAGCAGCATGCCAGTAGAACACAATAGCAAACGTGAGAAGAAGATTGTAAGTTCCGGAACCATTTCTGTCATATTGCCTGGTGGTGGGTTTAAGGCCCTTTCACAGACAATCATCCAAATGCTAGAAGAAATTAAGACATGTATTGGGTCTTTGTCTTAAAGAAAATAAAAATGTGACCATTGGTAATGATATTTTGCATGGATGTGGCCATGACCTACAATTTTATCTTATTTATTTATTTATTTTTTGCTTAAGTTTGCTTAGAAAAAGGGAGAAAGGCACTTTTATTGCTTCTGGCCTTTATAAAAAGTGTAACAAAGAGATCTTTTTAATACCAAAATCTTTCTAATGTGCCTATACATATTGCCTAGATTCTGAAGTTAATCTACCTAGAGGAAGTGCACTTACTTGGAGTAAGTAATCATGCATTTAATGCATTTAGCTGTGGATATGTTTGGAAGCTTTTTTATGTTGCCTGATGCTATTGCCAAGATAATTCTGTAGTTAGAGCTGCACTACAATCTATCATAATCACCCTTCATCGTCTCACTGTCTAGGGTAGCCTTTGTTAATTAGCTGGCAAAATATATTCCAATACCTTGGTGCCAGCCTTGCATTCAGGATGGCTTATATATATTTTGCCACAGGTAGGCTGAAACTCTACCCACAAAACCTCATTCCTTAGCACTTGGTTTTAAAATTATTAATTTGAGATACAGTTTTAAAAACACTGCATACCAGGCACCTTAGGTTATAAATTATACCTCAATTTACAAAAAAAAAAAAAAAAAAAAAAATCCTGTTTATTCTCAAGCCTGGAAAGAATTCTCTAAATTTTTGTCTCAGCTTTCACTCTCCTGTGGCTTCCTAGGCTTTGAAAAAGTAAAACCAGCTCAGGGAGACAGGAGACTGCTTGATGTTTATGTTGCATCTCATCGTCTCTATTGGGAAGAGTGTAGGGAGTCTCATTTTCCAGCGACACCATGTCAGACCCATTCCCAATTCCCTCATTAGTGTGGGATCCTTTAACAGTTCCTAACGCACACTGTGTGAGAACTAACTAACTGCAGCTTAATCCAGATATGCAGTTGGCCACCCACCTGCGTGCTTGGGGTGCGGGTGGGTCTTCAGAAACAACCTTCTCATTCCTAATGTGAAGAAAGAAGAAAAGCACCATTTTCCCTCTATTTCTTCATCCCTCTTCCCCTCCTCTGCCTTTGGTTTCTCCTTGTCCCTCTATCCCAAAGCCCTGTCCTAGTTCCTGATGGAGAAGAATCCGCACATTAATAGCTGCTCCTTCATCTCTCCAAATCTTACTGAGCTGTTCTCTCACTTACCTGACCACCCTCTGCTCAATTAATAAGGGCTGCAGTGTGGGCTAAAAAGGCCAAATGACTAGTTTTTTCCCCTGCCAATTCTCTGGCTCTGTGTCTGATTGGATCTGTTTATTGGCATGACACTTATCACTGTGGTGCACAGCCACTCAATTTAAACCTATTGCAACGATACATTTTGGTACAACACCATCAAGACACTGCTGGATGACCCTTCTGGGGTGTTCAGCAGATAGTTTCACAGTTCACAGAGCTAGGCTCGTGTTTTCTTCACTTTCTCTTTAATATTTTAAAATAAAACCCATCTCGGGGCTTTCAGCTAGCAGAGAGAAGGATGGAACCAGATTCTCTTGACCCAGGAAGTCTCAAGCAGCAGTTAGACTCTGTGACTGAATGCACCATGGAGTACAGTAAGAAGGACTTGATGGTGTTATTGTTCTTGCTGGAGTCTTACTTGAAAAAGCTGTCTCTACTCTCCATAGGAAACTGGCTTGCTGAGCACTCTGCACCTAAGAGGCAATTGGGCTCTTTAATTCATTCCAGACAGCAGTTTTTCAAGGTGTTTTGGTAGAGATTAAGTGCATTATTTGTTTGACCTGAGGTTCTTGTTTCTCTTTGGGAAACTTTAATTTTGTTTTTTCTCTTATAAATGGGTACAGACTGTTTTCTTCCTTTGTGACTAATTCACGTTCTTTTCTCTTCCACTCTTGAACAATCAGAGTGACTCAGTTCAGATGATCAAGAGAGTTTGAAATCATTCTTGAGAAGAACAGCATCAAGACATTGTTCCTGTTAATGTTTAACCCACCTAATTACCATAGTAACTTCTGTAATTTCACATAAAATATAGTAAACATGGCTATGCTTGATTCTTTAAGCAATATTTTGTTGTTTGATCAATTTGGGAAGACATACAGATGTACTTCATGTCTCATGACTAAGACAGAAGCAACAATATGCCTTTGGAGTCTGTCTTTTTAAGTCATAAAGCATAGAGAATAGCAGAAAGAAAGTCAGTGATTTTTCCCAGTATCCACACGACCTTTCCGTTAGGTCTTGCATAGACAGCATGTGGTTTATTCCTCTGGTTTACAGAAGAAGAAGCAAAGGGTTAGAATTGTTGAGCAACTTGCTCAAGGTCTCACAGTTAATGATAGCATAAGACCAAAGAGCCCCATTCCTCAGCATAATTAAGGGGACTCCAGTGACTCCAGGTGCTTTCAAATATAGTGCAATTCCAGTATGCCCTGCAGCTGCTCTTCAGATAAAGGGCTCACTCCTCAGTACCATGGACAGAAGTACTGGAGCCCTTGGCTGGTGCAGTTCTGCAAACAGAGATCTCTGGTGAACAGCACGACATGATTATAATAGGAGTGGAAATTGCATTAATGAAGGAAACTCCTTACAAAGAGTCACTGCTTTAATGTGGATTTCAGTCCCTTTTTAAAATCAAGGTGTTTTCTGTATAGGTAAATATCAGCTGCATAAGTTAAATTTGCAAAACTCAGATGAAGACTGTAGCTATAGAGAAGCTTGAGAACTTGACTCCATGTGCCACTTCAGATAGGGTTTTAATTATCTTTTTCCTTAAGACATTGTAGGAAGGTGCTTAGTTTATTCTTCTTTAAGCTATGATGAGAAATGAGATTTCTGGTATAAAAAATCTAAACCAAACTCCCTCAAAAATATGAGTTTAAGCCAATTAAATCCTCCCTTAATTGGCAATAACTCAATAAACATTCAATCTCCTTTTAAGTATTGGAAAATGTTTAATCTCTACTAAGTTTTCCTTTTTCTGGAATAAGCTGTCCCTACTGTTTTAGTCTTTCCCTCTGGGCTTTTGGGTTATTTTCCCCACTGTGAACTGCTCCCTATTTGAACTTAATCTCTTGGGGCTTTGTAGATTCTTAGTTTTATTAATGTCATTCTAATCCTTGAGGAATAATTTATTATCTTTGATAAATTTACAACTATTTCTACTCAGTGAATTCATGATTACATATTTCATTCAGCAAAATTGTATTTTAGGATAACAGGCCTTTCCTTGGTCTCGAGAAGAAATAACTTCAAGCATATAAAGGACTCCAAATTACTAATTCTCATTTTTAAATTTGATTTTCCTTGAAGTAAATAACTTTTCAGTACTTAATTATAGTAAATAGTAATTTAGTAATTAATTGCATCAGGTATGCTTGGACTTGGAGAATTGTGTTTGCCAACTTAAATCAAAAGGAAATAGAAGAGATACAAACACTTGAAATTTAATTTTGTGCCGGGCATGGTGGCTCACACCTGTAATCCCAGCACTTTAGAAGCCCGAGACGGGCAGATCGCCTGAGGTCAGGAGTTCGAGACCAGCCTGGCCAACATGGTGAAATCCTGTCTCTACTAAAAATACAAAAATTAGCCGGGCATGGTGGCGGACACCTGTAATCCCAGCTACTTGGGAGGCTGAAGCAGGAGAATCACTTGAACTCGGGAGGCAGAGGTTGCAGTGATCCAAGATCGCGCCATTGCACTCCAGCCTGGACGACAAGAGTGAGACTTCGTCTCAAAAAAAAAAAAAAAATTAATTTTGAGTCTAAACATGACAAGTAGAGAATCTAGAAAATATAGGCAAAGGCTACTGGTTCAGACAATTCTGTTCAATCTTTGTTCCTTCTCCAACATTCTGCCCAACCCTGGGAAAGAATGCTCCACCCCACTTTTTTGATAATGCTACTTAATTTAGAATGCAGATAAAGATGAGAAGAGATTAGTGTTGCCAAAAATTTTGTTTTGCCAATTTCAGGAACTTTATCACTGATATTTGATATTCACCTTTGATTAACAGCTAAAGAATTAGGATCACCAATTCCTTTACACATTTATTTTCAGTCACATTTTTACAACTAAGTTATAAAAACTAAATTATTTTAAAAGCTGAGAAGCATTTAAGAGAGTATTAAACTTTTTTTGAGGTATATAGAATCTTGAGATGCAAAAGAAAATATTACTATTAATCTAAACAGATGAAATTTATGTTCATTTGTGAACAAGTATTTGCCATGCCTTGAAGATAAATCCCCCCTCCCCACCTCGATTAAAAAGCAAATTTATGTTATGGGCCAGGTACAGTGATTCACACTTGTAATCCCAGCTACTCAGGAGGCAGAGATTGGAGGATTGCTTGAGCCCAGGAGTTTGAGGCTGCAGTGAGCTACAGTTGCATCACTGCACACCAACCTGAGTGACAGAGCAGGACCCCTGTCTGTAAAAAAATAAATAA
Source organism: Homo sapiens (assembly GCF_000001405.40). Lineage (NCBI taxonomy): Eukaryota > Metazoa > Chordata > Mammalia > Primates > Hominidae > Homo > Homo sapiens. The sequence continues at coordinate 17,766,556 of NC_000006.12, read as the reverse complement.
ATAAAAATAAATAAATCCTAGCCGGGCACGGTGTCTCATGCCTGTAATCGCAGCACTTTGGGAGGCTGAGACGGGCAGATCACCTGAGGTCGGCAGTTTGAGACAAGCCTGACCAACATGGAGAAACCCTGTCTCTATAAAAATACAAAATTAGCCTGGCATGCTGGCGCATGCCTGTAATCCCAGCTACTCGGGAGGCTGACGCAGGAGAATTGCTTGAACCTGGGAGATGGAGGTTGCGGTGAGCCGAGATCACACCATTGCACTCCAGCCTGGGCAACAAGAGTGAAACTCCATCTCAAAATAAATAAATAAATAAATAAATAAATAAATAAATCTTAAAAATAAAATAAGTAAATTAATAAAATGCAAACTTAATGAGTAAGGCTGATGCTTCGGTTCCAGGTCTTTACATGCACCTAGTAGTTCTAATTGTACAGATGCTTTAAACCAGATGACCAATGAAAGAAAGCTAACTGTTTTTGAGGTGTCTAAGTTTACCTGTGAATGAAATTCTTATCCATCCATGCAGCATCCAGGATTGTTCTAAGAGCAAGGACGCAAAGTTGTAATTCTCTGAGGGAGGGACCATGCCTTCTTGTGCTCACCATTGCTATTTCCAAGTCCTTAGGACAATGGCTGCCATGTAGTGGATGTTCAGTGTGTATTTGTTGAATGAAAGACATATTTTAAAAGGAATATTTGCGATTTCATTAGGTGCTTCTGAGATTAATTAGAAATGGCTAGAGAGTTTATCACTTATTTTATTTGGACTTAAAATACCCACATTTTTTCTACCAAATATAAAAGAATCATTCATTTGGAGAGAGACTGGGGAGTTGGTGACACCCACTTTTGCATGTATTTACCAATTTTTGTGAACAGGGGCTTGAAAACTGTTTTACAAAGGAGATTTTCATTTAAATTTCACTATGCCTTCTTCACCTTCTAGCCAAACCCTCTACTCATACTTCTCAAAAATCCTAGAAGACCGTAATTGTCAGATTGTTAGTATTTTATAGCCTTACGATATGTAGCATAATATAAGAATGAGTGTTGAAATTGTGTTTTTTGCCCTTTTGCAGTTGGGTTCTTTGTTTTACTCTCTTCTCCCCCATAAAATAGCTGAGAAACTTTTTAAAAATTACCTTAACTGCCTGCACTTTGCTTCCCAAGGTGAAGATTCTAAAGACAAAAGGAGTGGCTCTTCTCTGCTTCTGCCTGTTTCTCTGCTCATTTAATGAGAAAAGAGAAAACATCACAACTAAAAGCTAATTTTGAATAACTAACAAAATGTCCACTGCACTTCAGTTCCATTCTTTCTCTTAAACCAGGGAAGGAATGATTTCTAATTAGCACTGAGTGAGCCTAAAAGAACTAAATCCCCTTCATATTAGATGATAAGGGGTTTATATTCACAGGTCTCTGAGAATACTGATACACCTATATCTACAATAGGTGACAAGATCTGGCCAAATTTGGAAAGACAAAAAGAAAACACTGAACACCATGTGAATGTGAATGCCTTTAACAGCCAAGTATTTAAAACTTGTCTCAACAGTACAGTTGCTACAAGGAGCTAATGACTGACTTTTGCTTCACTTCTATAGGACTCTGAGGAGGAAGAAAATGAGCTGGAAGCTATTAACAGGAAGCTAATAAGTTCACAGCCTTATGTACCTGTGGAGTTTGCTGACTTCAGTGTTTACAATGCCAGCTTGGAGAACAGGGAATGGTTTTCCTCTAAAGTAGATCTGTCAAACTCACGGGTCTTGGAGAAAGAAGTGTCCCGTAGCCCTACCACCAGCAGTATTACCAGTGGCTACTTTTCCCACAGTGCCTCCAATGCCACCCTGTCTGACATGGTGGTCCCTTCTAGTGACAGCTCAGACCAGCTGGCCATTCAGACGAAGGATGCAGACTCCACCGAGCACTCCACACCATCGCTTGTGCATGATTTCAGGCCGTCCTCAAACAAAGAGTTGACAGAAGTCGAAAAAGGCTTGGTAAAGGACAAGATAATTGTGGTGCCACTCAAGGAAAACAGTGCCTTAGCCAAAGGGAGCCCATCATCCCAGAGCATCCCTGAGAAAAACTCCAAATCACTGTGCAGGACTGGCTCATGTTCAGAACTAGATGCCTGCCCCAGCAAAATTAGCCAGCCAGCCAGGGGATTCTGCCCCAGGGAGGTGACGGTAGAACACACCACCAACATCCTTGAAGACCATTCTTTCACAGAATTTATGGGAGTGTCAGAGGGAAAAGATTTTGATGGTTTGACAGATTCTTCTGCTGGAGAGCTTTCCAGTAGGAGGAGTCTACCAAATAAAACAGGCGGCAAGACTGTCTCCGATGGGCTCCACCACCCCAGCCAGCTGCATTCCAAGTTAGAGAATGACCAGGTAATAATTCCAGAGGCAGCCTTTTGGGTTCTGTGCTGTCAATGAGTATGTCTAACTGTATGTCAACCCCAGAGGCCCTTCACCGCAACAACTTGGTAGGAAAGATTCATCCAGTTGTTTGTGACAGCAAAGATGAGCCCACAGAGAAGCAGGCTCACTTCCTGCACAGCTGTCTCTGTCGGAGAGCAAGTCTGTTTTGGGAACTAGAACGCAATTGTGAAATTATAAGACCAGTGGATTTTTTTACCTGGCACATGGGTTGGTGTTGAATGAAGTGTTCAGATGGATAAGGATCAATCTCATATTCATTCCCTGGGATGTTTAGTTACCAGTTTTCCCAAAGTGTTCTGGTAGCATCTACCATATTTCATCAAATCTGTGATTCCTTTGATTATTATATGAACCATTATTTTATGTATCATTAAGAAAAAATACTGCCAATTAAACTCTGTCATATCAACAGTTGTAAGACACCCCAATTTCAGAGATGGTAAAGTGTGGAGAGAAAAACATATATATCATAGAATTGGAAATAGACAGTCGTTTGGTGCCCGTAGGTGAAAAAGTGCTTTGGGGCGGTATAGGCAAATTCCAGCAGCAGTTGAAGTTTGGACTTTGGAAGTAACTCAGTTTATAATACTGGTTAATTTTCTTTTTTCTTTTTTTTTTTTTTTTTTTTGAGATGGAGTGTGGCTCTCACTCTGTCACCCAGGCTGCAGTGCAGTGACACGATCTTGGCTCATTGCAGCCTCCACCTCCCTGGCTCACGTGATCCTCCTGCCTCAGCCTCCCGTGTAGCTGGGACTACAGGCACGTGCCAGCACATCTGGCTAATTTTTTTATATTTTCACCATGTTGGCCAGGCTGGTCTCAAACTTCTGACCTCAGGTGATCCATCCCCCTTGGCCTCCCAAAGTGTTGGGATTATAGGCATGAGCCACTGTGCCTGACTAATATTGGTTAATTTTCATACGGGAACAAAATGAGTTTTTGCCACTATTACTAAGGAAAATCACAAATTACATAAATAAGAGATGTTCTGCTTCTGAGCATTCTGCTCTGAAGTACCACCATTTATTCCCATTCACATTCATTTGTTTGGTCCCCCAACTTGCTGTAAAAGGCATGGGAGAGTCATGGCTTAGCAAAATAAAGAACTGACAGAGCTAGAAAGAGGCTTGGTAAAAGTAAAATAATCATGCTGCTACTCTATCCCTTTGTTTTGCGAGCAAGTTACTCCATTGATGTGGCTTTTGCCCCTGCTTTTCATAACAGCCCTTAAAATTTCAATGTATGGTCATTTATACAGCATACTCATTACTGAACTGCCAAAACCTAAACAGTCATCTCTGACAAGAAAAAGACTTCCTTCCCCGACATAAGAATAATGATAGAGTCACTCACCACCATTCTTGCAAGCAATACATGCATTTGTTTAGGTCTTCAACTTTCTTTACCTGGATTAAAGCAGAAGCTACACAGCTGGTATACATCAGCTTTTCAACCCTTGTTCGTCAAGAAGGCCAGTGTCAAAGACTCTTTAATTCTTTACTGTAAGATTAGGTTTGCTTCTCAAACCTAAAGGTGCTACAAACTCTAGGGGCAAGGAGGGTGTGGCAGGCCTCTTAAAAATTCATATTCATGGCCGAGTATGGTGGCTCATGCCTGTAATCCCAGCATTTTGGAAGGCCGAGGCAGGTGGATTGCCAGATGTCAGGAGTTCGAGACCAGCCTGGCTAAATGGTGAAACCCCATCTCTACTAAAAATACAAAAATTAGCCGGATATGGTGGCACATGCTTGTAGTCCCAGCTACTCGGGAGGCTGAGGCAGGAGAATCACCTGAACCCAGGAGGCGGAGGTTGCAGTGAGCCAAGATCGCACCACTGCACTCCAGCCTGGGCAACAGAGCAAGACTCCGTCTCAAAAAAAAAAAAAAAAATTCAAATTCACCTGGGCTTAGTGGCTTGCACCTGTAGTTCCAGCTATTCTGGAGGCTGAGGCGGGAAGATCACTTGAGCCCAAGAGCTCAAGACCAGTCTGGACAACAGAGCAAGATCCTATCTCTGTTTAAATAATTTTAAAAATTAAAATTTTTAAAAAATTCAAATTCCCAGGAGTCACTGCCATCCAGCCCTAAGATTTTGCTTTATACAGTGTGCAGCAGGGGAAATAAGGTATTCACAAACCCTTCCTTCCTCCCCATCCCCTCGCATCCCCATAGAGTAATAGGAGACAGGTTATCTGAGGGCCATACTGTGGGAAGCACTGCCCATAGAAGAGGGAAGAGGAGCAACAACCCCCTTCTTTTTTCATTGCCTAGATTATTTAGAACCCAACAGGAAAAGGTAAGGATTGGAAAGTTTCCAGAATAGTACGTTCCTCCCAAAGATCATGGTTTAAAGTGAAATTTACAAACATGTTATATCAAGATGATGGGATTATGGAGATTTTTCTCCTTTAAAGAGTTTTTAGCGGAGCGCAGTGGCTCACACCTGTAATCCCAACACTTTGGGAGGCTGAGGCGGGCGGATCACCTGAGGTCACAAGTTTGAGACCAGCCTGACCAACATGGAGAAACCCTGTCTCTACTGAAAACACAAAATTAGCCGGCAGTGGTGGCACATGACTATAATCCCAGCTACTCGGGAGGCTGAGGCAGGAGAATCGCTGGAACCCGGGAGGTGAAAGTTGCAGTGAGCTGAGATTGTGCCATTGCATTCCAGCCTGGGCAACAGGAGCTAAACTCTTGTCTCAAAAAAAAAAAATTTTGGCGGCCAGGCATAGTGGCTCACGCCCGTAGTCCTAGCACTTTGGGGAGACCAGAGCAGGAAGATCGCATGAACCCAGGAGTTTGACACCATCGTGGGCAACATAACGAGACTCTGTCTCTACAAAAATTTAAATGTTTTTTTATTTAATGTATCTGCTACATTGGTTTTAATAAGTTGTTTTGACAGTTTAAAATTTTTTCTGAGAACCATAAGTTTGACTTTGTTCAAACCCCTGAAATGACTTAGACTGCACATCCAGAAGTCACTTTTTTTCCTTAATTTTTACTTTGGTTGTTGCTGTCATTACTTTTCCTTGAAACATCACCTCAGGGCTTTTACAATGTGGATTCCAGCACTGGATTCCATAATAAAACCAATCCTGTGGGTCCCTTCAGGAAGAGCCCCTTTCTTGTGATGGGTGTGGACTGGGCTGAGAGTAGGTGCTGTGGGTGGGGTGGGGAGGTGGGGATGAGAAGCATGAACTCACCAGCCTCTGCATTCCAGGGAGGCACAACCTCACGGTGAGAGCAGCAAGCACCCCTCCTCAGGCCACAGCTTGGCGTCTTTGTTCGCCTGGTCACCTTGGGCAAGCACCAGCCCCATCTCTAAAACATGCTGCCGCCTGGCTGGACCTCAGACCAGAAGCTGGAGAATCCACACCGTGCACTTCCTGGGCCACCTCCTTTCCCCTCCCCAGTGGGAGAAGCGGCACTTTGTCACTTGGGTGAATCAACAGCCTCTGCTTTTTCCAGAAAGCAAGAGAACTGAAAATCCTGGATTAACTAAGTGACAGTATTTTTTTTTGCACTTACTACACACCTCCACTGTATAGAAACCTCTACAGATTCCAACAGACTTTATTCTTGTACAATTTTAATCAGTTCTTACTGTAGAATCTGGAGTCAATGCTCTAATCTGTTTTTTATAAATAATATATATTATGTATATGAAATGTGTATCTATAGTATGTCTGGAGACAGACAAGGCTGCACACTAAAATGCAGATAAAGGTGATTTGTAGAAAATCATAAGGTACTGGACTTCGTTACAAAGCAACTTGGGCGATCTCTTATACATGAGCAGATGAAAAATATTTTATTGCCTAAGAATGAGCTTGCAAATCCCTCTTTGCAGAAAAGGTTATAGAATGCTGTTCTTTATAACCAAAGAACTTACATAAGACAACATTTTTGCTGTCCACTCTTTTGTGTGAACATGTATGTTTGACTGCAAGTTTGGTGCCATAATTCCCTTGGCTACCAAGCCACGTGCTGCCATTCTCTGTCCTTTGTTTCATAAGCACACTGAGAAATCTCACAGCTATATTCTTTGGTCTTCCACCTGCCCCTCCACCTGCTGACTTGACATTGTATTATAACTGTTGACAATGACTGGGGTCCTGACTCCACAGTTGCCTGGACCGTGGCTCAGCCCAGCTGGGCAGGTGGAATGAAGAGAGCCGTATTACTGTAAGAAAACACAAGGACAGCCAGGAGTAGTGGTGGGGTGGGTGGGGTGGGAGGTGTTGATTTTTGTGTGTTTCTGTGTGTGTGGTTTTGTTTTGGATTGGTAGGTTTCACTGTGGCGTGGTTTTGCTGTTGTTATTTTGCTTGATTCTGGAAAATGCTGAGGAGATGGACTGAGCTATGAAGTTCAATGGTTCACCCTTTACCATGTTTGCAGGAGATGATCGAATACAGATGACCCTGCTGTCGTGTCTTCATTTGTAAAATTCTCCTACAAATGGAGACATTGAAGGATTATGTGTATGGAAATTTTTACAAAATTCCTTTCTGTACCTATTCTGTAGATGCCTGTATAATCGGTCTGGATGTACAGCTATAAATGTGTTGTGAGAGCAAGAGAGAGAGAATGGGTAGAGCCTGCTGTACCTTTTTTCTTTTAAATTCTTCGAGTTGGTAAATGAGTAAGATATTGGAAACCTTAATGAAAAGCTGCTGTTCATGATTTGTGTGTATAGTGAGCTGACTGTAGTATTTTACTATTGTCTGTTAAAAAAAGAAAAACTGTAATTTATATCCCCTTTGAACTTTATTGTGTTTAATTGGTACACATTTCTGTGTGTGTGTGTGTGTATGTGTTTTAGAATACAAACTGTGTAATTCAGATTTTAAAACACTAATCATTTGTCTTTAATAACCCTGCCTTTAGTTTCAAATCTAACTTACCATATTTCTATGTGTGCATGTCTCTGCAGTGTTAAAAATAATAATATCAGCATTTATTAGGGGTCAACTGTGTATTAGGCACTGTTCTAAACATTTGATATTCATTATCTCATTTAATCCTCACAGCAACAGACCCATAGGTACTGTGGTCATTAAGTGTTTGACAAGTAGAAAACTGAGGCAGAGAAGTTACTGATGGAGCTGTAGCAAAGCCAGGATGCAGGCCACACTTCGCTTGTCAGTCTCTGTGTTCAGCCTGGTGACATGTCATGGACAGACAGGCCTTTTGAAAACTAGGCACCTTCAGAGGACAGAAGGGTGTGGTGAGTGTCACAAGTTCCAGACAGACCAATCCCATCGTGGTGGAGGGGGGCTATCTGGAGCAGGTAGGACATGGTGTGTTATACCTGTTCACGATGCTTAAATCTTTACAGCAAGCAGCAGTACCCTGCCACCTGTGAAATAGTGGCTAAAAGTAGCTTATTATAAAAATCTTATTTAAAAACAATTATTACAGCATCTTTTCAGAAAAATCTCAGCTGTTCACAATACCCTTTCTGAAGTTACAAAGAATTAGATCTAGCCTGTTCTGGACAGAAGGGTGCCCTGTATAGAGTTCCATGGGAAAGGAGAGAAGGGACCCAAAAAAATCCCAAAACTTATTTGAATTTTAGAGAATGGGTTTGGGAAGTGGAAAGCAGCTATTTAATATTTAAATAAAAGATGACAACTAAACGTATAGTTCAAGAGAAAATGAACAAATCATCATTCCTCTTGCTAGTATGAGACCAGTGGTATTCAGGTCAGTGACATTGTCATCTGTCATTATGACTAAGAACAAACTGGGTTTAGTTCATATTTTATTGGAGAGTTAGAGGCATGTGTTTAACAGTTATTTCCAAGATACAGTAGTGCCAGTGTCAGCACATTTGTTGATAGTTTTTGGACACACATTTTATCATAACAAAAATATAACCTTGTGTTTCTATGGCACCGACTTATGGGGAGAATAGCTGTTTATAAAAATACCTTTGGGGCTACGGCTCGAACTGCGTCCGCTAGCACAGGAGTGGGAGTCATGGGGACCAGCTGCAGCATTCTCATTGTGTCCTCCTGGGGAGAGGAAAGGGTCATTTGGAGCTGCCAGTTTCCCTTCCTGGGGGCCTTTGGGGGTTTGGTGAGAACTGGAAAGAATTTGCTCAAAGGGAAACCAGAAAAGAAGCAGCTCCTGGCTGGGCGACGTGGCTCACGCCTGTAATCCCAGCACTTTGGGAGGCCGAGGTGGGCGGATCACGAGGTCAGGAGATCGAGACCATCCTGGCTAACACGGTGAAACCGCGTCTCTACTAAAAATACAAAAAAATTAGCCGGGCTTGATGGCGGCGCCTGTAGTCCCAGCTACTCGGGAGGCTGAGGCAGGAGAATCGCGTGAACCCAGGAGGTGGAGCTTGCAGTGAGCCGAGATCACGCCACTGCACTCCAGTCTGGGCGACAGAGCAAGACTCCATCTCAAAAAAAAAAAAAAAAAAAAAAAAAGCAGCTCCTTACCTAAAAAGTTCATTTTGCCTCGGTTGTGAGTTCTTTCATTAAGAATAGATAAATTCTGGCCGGGCGCAGTGACTCACGTCTGTAATCCCAGCGCTTTGGGAGGCCAAGGCAGGTGGATCACCTGAGGTCAGGAGTTCGGGACCAGCCTGGCCAACATGGTGAAATCCCATCTCTGCTAAAAATACAAAACTTACCCGGGCATGGTGGTGCACGCCTATAGTCCCAGCTGCTCAGGAGGCTGAGGCAGGAGAATCATTCAAACCCGGGAGGTGGAGGTTGCAGTGAGCCGAGATCACGCCACTGCACTCCAGCCTGGGCAACAGAGTGAGACTCTATCTCAAAAAAAAAAAAAAAAAAAAAAAAAAAATATATATATATATATATAATTTCCATTATGCCACATGATTCAAAACCAAAGAATGTAGAGCCTGAAAAAAACCAACAGTTGGGAGTAGCTTCCTTGGGAATAATGCCGTCTGCTAGACCAGCTTTTCTAGGCACTACGTTCCTTTTTTTTTTTTTTTTTTTTTTTTTTTGGAGACAAAGTCTTACTCTCGTGTAGGCTGGAGTGCAGCAGCGCAATCTCAGCCTCACTGCAACTTCTGCCCCCAGGGTTCAAGCAATTCTCCTGCCTCAGCCTCCCTAGTAGCTGGGATTACAGGTGCCCGCCACCACACCCAGCTAATTTTTGTATTTTCAGTAGAGACAGGGTTTCACCATGTTGGCCAGGCTGGTCTCGATCTCCTGACCTCAGGTGATCCACCCACCTTGGCCTCCCAAAGTGCTGGGATTACAGGCATGAGCCACCACGCCTGGCCGACACTACGTTCTTTAAGGAACAAGGCTACGATCCATTTAAAGAAGATTTGTAACATCTAATAGGATACAAAGGAAATCATCGCTAGGTGACCATGAAGATTCTTTTTTTTTTTTTTGAGGCGGAGTCTCACTCTGTCGCCCAGGCTGGAGTGCAGTGGCCGGTCTCGGCTCACTGCAAGCTCTGCCTCCCGGGTTCAAGCCATTCTCCTGCCTCAGCCTCCTGAGTAGCTGGGACTACAGGCGCCCACCACCATGCCCAGCTAATTTTTGTATTTTTTAGTAGAGACAAGGTTTCACCGTGTCAGCCAGGATGGTCTCGATCTCCTGACCTTGTGATCTGCCCGCCTTGGCCTCCCAAAGTGCTGGGATTACAGGCGTGAGCCACTGCGCCCGGCCTGAAGATTCTTTGATTTTTTTTTAAAAAAGGCAAAAATAAGGTCTGGTTAGAGAATGAAAAATATCTACATCTCAGAACAACTCTATTTAATCTAAAAAGCTCCCTACAATTGCCAGCCTATTTGCAGTCTCTTAATATGCCCACTACCCTTTCAGCCAGTACATGAGAAAATATTTTTGGTCCCACAGGATATAGAAGATAAGATTTTTTTAATTTTTTTTTGGAATCTGTCACTGAATTATATTTCAGATGCAGACACTGTGGTATTTCCGTGTTTGTGATATTTACTGTGCAGTTTGTCGTTAACAACTTGCATGGAGTAGGGCGCCATAGAATTTGCCTTAGTGTTTCAGTTCAAATAGAGATCCTAATTCAAATGTCATAACTCAAATTCAAACACAGTATGCTTGTTGTAGAATTTATCAGGTTTGCTGATGATTCCTTTTTTATTAAAATTTTTGCGGGGATAATATATTGTAACAGTCTTTGCAGCTACAGAGAACAGGACAGGCCATCAGGGTATATTTCCCAAGTATCTGACCGAAAACCTAAGCAAGAGAAGTGAGACAAACCATCTAATCTGTATCCTCCCACTAACAGGCTGCGTCATTTTGGATTTCCGAGGTCCGTGTCCTTCTAAATAAAATGAGGAGATGAGACAAGAGCAGCGGTTCTCAAAGTGTAGTTGGAGAGGGGGCGGTCCTCAGACTTTCAATGATAGCCAAGGTCAAAGCTCTTTTTATAATACTAATACATCATTTGTCTTTTTCACTCTATTTCTTTCATGAGTATGGACAGGAGTTTTCCAGAGGCTACCTCACGTGTGATATTTTAACAGACTAAATGCACAGCAGCTTTGGGAATCCAGCTTTCATCTATTAAGTCAGACATTAGATTTACAAAAATGTAAAATAATGCCACTCTTCTCACTAAAAAAAATAAAAAATAAAAAGCCTGTAGGGTTAAGTAAGGACAAGATACTATCTTCTACTAAATTATGCTGCCCCAGCCAATAATTATTTTTTAAATTACAATATTTTAAAAGCTTTAGAATAATGTTGAAAAAAAGACAGCTAATTACATGATTATGCCTTATTTTAAAAGTAACGCTTTCTGGTCATGTAATTAAAAAGTATTGAAAGAAAATGTAATTGAGGCTGGGCTCAGTGGCTCATGCCTATAATCCCAGCATTTTGGGAGGCCCAGGCAGGCAAATCACCTGAGGTCAGGAGTTCGAGACCAGCCTGACCAACATAGTGAAACCCCATCTCTACTAAAGATACAACAATTAGCTGGGCATGGTGACACAGCCCTGTAATCCCAACTATTCAGGAGGCTGAGGCAGGAGAATTGCTTGAACCCAGGAGGCAGAGGTTGCAGTGAGCTGAGATTGCGCCATTGCACTCCAGCCTGGGTGACAGAGTGAGACTACGTCTCAAAAAATAAACAATAAAAGTATAAAAAATTAGCTGGGCATGGTCGTGGGCGCCTGTAATCCCAGCTGCTCGGGAGGCTGAGGCAGGAGAATCACTTGAACCCAGGAGCTGGAGGTTGCAGTGAGCTGAGACCACACCATTGCACTCCAGCCTGGGTGACGAAGCAAGACTTCATCTCAAAAAAAAAAAAAAAAAAAAATGTAATTGAGTAAGAGTTCTTGCTCTCCTTTTCTTCTCCAAGGGCTAAAAAGAAAAAGTATGCGTGTTTGTGTGTATGCATAAAATAAAAAAAAATATGTAAAGATGTCAGCCAGAGTTACAGTTATCAGTTACCTGAAGGCTCAACTGAGACTGGGAGAATCCACTTTTAGAGTGGATCTACTTCCTCGCTCTGTAGACCCCCTCCATAGTGCTTGAATGTCCCCACAATGTGGCAGTTGGCATCCCCAGAGCAAGTGGTCCAAGACAGCAAACAGAAGCCACAGTGCCTCTTTTATGACCTGGTCTCAAGTCACACTTCACTTCCACCATAATCCGTTCATCAGCAGTGAGGTACTAAGTCCAGCCCCCACTGAAAGGGAGGGGAACTAGGCTCTTCATTTTGTGAAGAAGACTGTCAAAGGATTTGTAGACATATTTTAAAACCACCATAACTATTACGAAGTTATATACCTGAAGCCATGGGGCAAAGCAAAGCTAACTGAAACCTCTGAGTGAATTGGGAATCCAACTCCTTTATTCATAAAGAGCAGAGTCAAAAGGAAAGGCACATCCCATGGAAGACAAAGGAGATATTAATAAAGAAAAAAGTCAAAATACTAGGATTATCTGAATGTGTGACTTATAGTCAGTAATCAAACTGTACTGATATTCCTGGTGGAGGCAAATGCACTCCGTTGCTCAGGCTGAAGTGCAGTGGTGTGATCAGTCTCACTGCAGCCTCAGCCTCCTGGGTTCAAGTGATCCTCCTGCCTCAGCCTCTTTAGCAGCTAGAACCACAGGCGCAGGCCACCACAACCAGCTAATTTTCTCATTTTTTGTAAAGACGTAGTCTTGCCATCTCAGGACCTCTTGAGCTCTCAGGAGTCTCTGACGTTGAATTCCTGAGCTCAAAGAGATCCTCCCGCCCTGGCTTCCCAAAATGCTAGGATTACAGGCATGAGCCACCACATCTGGCCTGCCTCTATTTTTTGTTGGATTTTTCTCATTTGATTCTCTGCGGATCTGCTTCATTAGAGACACAAGCATACCAATATATTTTATGGCTTTGGTCAAAATAGGAAATTCAGACACATCTTTACTTATTAAGGCACAAGATATTAACAATTAGATTTAGGAATAAAACTGTCAACAAAAGGAGTTTATGAAGATAGGCTTTTTTGCTGAAGATACTGAAAGATCGGATTGTTTATTATTAAGATGTGTTACACATCCAAATGTTTCAGAATAAGCAAGGGTTCAAGGCTCTTGAAGCTTGTAAAATGAAATTTTAAATCTAAAGCTGGCTAACTGGAAAAAGAAACGTAAAGGGATTTACGAAGCTTAAAAGTTTTCTGTAAAAAATAAATTTAAAAAATTTAATGAAACTTAGAAGTTTTCTCTTAAAAAATAAAAAGGATTTAAAAGAGAAGAGTTTGAAAAGGAAAACAAGCTAACAAAAAATAAAATGTAAAAATACACGAATTATCAAAAACTGGTATAGATATGTAGAAAAGGATTCCTGATCAGTTTCTTCCTGTTTAGGCTCTTGCAGGTAAATATTCAATATAAACTCAGCCTCAGAGCTTCTTTTCCCCTCTTGAAGTCTGTCCCCTGAGCCCCATGCTTCTAAGGATGGGTCTGGAAGGTTCCTTTTGTTATCCTGTTGGCCAGGGTAGCACCTGTAGTCTGTCGTCTTCTGCTAGTTTCTGCTGACCCTGGTTGAGGAGAAGTTTTCTCATAGAATTTTTGGTCATAGACTTCTGTCCTGGCCTCACTCACCACTGATGTCAATAATGGTCTGTCCTCCAGGAAACTTTCTGCAGGACAATTGCCTGGCAAACTCTGCTTATAGCTTTTCCCACTTGCCTTGCACTGGTACTTATGAGGCTCAGCTGCCCTTGCCCCTGGCTCCAGCTCTGGGCTGTCCAGCACACAGCCCCTGCCATGGCACCCCTGTACCGTGCCTATGCTGTCGTGAACCTGGACAGTCACAGTGACTCTTAATTTTCAGCTTTCTTGGCCAGGCACGGTGGCTCGTGCCTGTTACCCCAGCATTTGGGAGGCCGAGGTAGGTGGATCACCTGAGGTCAGGAGTTCAAGACCAGCCTGGCCAACATGATGGAACCCCGTCTCCACTAAAAATACAAAAAAAATTAGCCAGGTGTGATGGTAGGCACCTGTAATTCCAGCTACTCGGGAGGCTGAGGCAGGAGAATGACTTGAACCCGGGAGGCGGAGGTTGCAGTGAGCCAAGATCGCGCTATTGTACTCCAGCCTGAGTGACAAGACCAAGACTCCATCTCAAAAAAATTTCACCTTTCTTCTTGCATTACTCATGGGTCTTTCAGGAACTCATCCATGCCTCAAAGAGGACCAACTGAATGTTTTCTGGAGCCTATCTATTCCTTCCATTCTGTCAAAACAAGACTGGAAGGGTGCCAATAGGAAGAAGCAAAGCACCAGCCTATGCTGTCTCAATTTCTCTCTCAAACTATCTGAGCCTCAAAAAGTGTTGCTCATATCTAACTCCTCACCTCAGCCCAAGGTGTAGAGCACTGGGTCTCCTCTTATGGACTAAGATACATCCTTACCCCAGTCTCAACCTCCTGATTCTCTCTGCCCCATTTTTCTCTTCCCCCTCCCTAATTTCTCCTTTCTCCTTCCTTTCTTGTCTCAGAGGAACTACCCTTAGGTCACAGAGCCATACTCTCTACACTCTGGCTTATAACAAAATACTGACTTCCAAGCTTTTTTTTTTTTTTTTTCTTTTCTTTTCTTTTTGTCGTAATAGAGATAAGGCCTCGCTATGTTCCTCAGGCTAGTCTTGAACTCCTGGGCTCAAGCAGTATTCCTGCCACAACCTCATAAAGTGCTGGGATCACAGGTGTCACGATGCCCAGCCCTGATTTTTTTTTTTTTTTTCTAAGAGATGGAGTCTCAAGCCAGGCACAGTGACTTACGCCTGTAATCCCAGCACTTTGGAGGCGGAGGTGGGTGGATCACTTGAGGTCAGGAGTTTGAGACCAGCCTGGCCAACATAATGAAACCCTATCTCTACTAAAAACACAAAAATTAGCCAGGTGGGGTGGCCCACGCCTGTAATCCCAGCTACTCGGGAGGCTGAGGTGAGAAAATCACTTGAACCCGGGAGGCAGAGGTTGCTGTGAGCCAAGATGGTACCACTGCACTCCAGCCTGGGCAGCAGAGTAAGATTCTGTCTCAAAAAAATATATAAAAAATATTTCCACTGCATTGCTATTTATTAAATGTAAGGGATTTAATATGCATTGCTCACATAATCATTCCAACAGCCCTGTGAGGTAGACACTGTCATTAACCCCATTTTACAGATGCGGAAATTGTGTCTCAAAGGGGTTAAGGATCTGTCAGGATTACAGAGTATCACTTAATATGAGCTTACAAAAAAACAACAACAAGGCCGGGCACCGTGGTTCACGCCTGTAATCCCAGCACTTTGGGAGCACGAGGTCAGGAGATCGAGACCATCCTGGCTAACACGGTGAAACCCCATCTCTACTAAAAAATACAAAAAATTAGCCAGGCATGGTGGTGGGCGCCTGTAGTCCCAGCTACTTGGGAGGCTGAGGCGAGAGAATGGCATGAACCCGGAAGGCAGAGCTTGCAGTGAGCCGAGATCGTGCCACTGCACTCCAGCCTGGGTGACAGAGCAAGACTCCATCTCAAAAAACAACAACAACAGAAGATCACAAAGGGCCAGGCACGGTGGCTCACACCTGTAATCCCAGCACTTTGGGAAGCCGAGATCAGGAGTTCATAACCAGCCTGGCCAACATGGTGAAACCCCATCTCTACGAAAAATACAAAAATTAGCTGGGTGTGGTGGCACACGCCTGTAATCCCAGCTACTCAGGAGGCTGAGGCAGGAGAATCGCTTAAACCCAGGAGGTGGAGGTTGCAGTAAGCCTAGATCGTGCCACTGCACTCCAGCCTGGGCAACAGAGTGAGACTGTCAAAAAAAAAAAAAAAAAAAAAAAAAAAGATCACAAAGACCAGAAAGGGAAGGAGCTAGGCTTCAAATCCAGGAAAACTGTCTGCATAAGAATCTGTCAGTCTCAGCCGGGCGCGGTGGCTCATGCCTGTAATCCCAGCACTTTGGGAGGCCGAGGTGGGTGGATCATTGAGGTCAGGAGTTCAAGACAAGCCTGGCTAACATTTTGAAACCCCATCTCTACTAAAGATAGAAAACTTAGGCGGGGCGTGTAGCTCACACCTGTAATCCCAGCACTTTGGGAGGCCAAGGCGGGCGGATCATGAAGTTAGGAGATTGAGACCATCCTGGCCAACGTGGTGAAACCCCATCTCTACTAAAAATACAAAAAAATTAGCTGGGCTTGGTGGCACAAGCCTGTAGTCCCAGCTACTCGGGAGGCTAAGGCAGGAGAAGCACTTGAACCCGGGAGTTGAAGGTTGCAGTGAGCTGACATTGCGTCACTGCACTCCAGCCTGGCAACAGAGTGAGACTCTGCCTCAAAATAAATAAATAAATAAATAAGCCGGGCGCGGTGGCTCACGCCTGTAATCCCAGCACTTTGGAAGGCCGAGGCGGGGGATCACGAGGTCAGGAGATCGAGACCATCCTGGCTAACACGGTGAAATCCCGTCTCCAGTAAAAATACAAAAAATTAGCTGGGCGTGGTTGTGGGCACCTGTAGTCCCAGGTACTTGGGAGGCTGAAGCAGGAGAATGGCGTGAACCCGGGAGGCAGAGCTTGTAGTGAGCTGAGATTGCGCCACTGCCCTCCAGCCTGGGCGACAGAGCGAGACTCCGTCTCAAAAAAAAAAAAATACAAAAATACAAAAATTAGCCAGGCGTGGTGATGGGCGCCTGTAGTCCCAGCTTCTCGGGAGGCAGAAGCAGAAGAATCGCTTGAACCCAGGAGGCGGAGATTGCAGTGAGCCAGGATCACGCCACTGCACTCCAGCCTGGGTGACAGAGCGAGACTCTGTCTCAAAAAAAAAAAAAAAAGTCAGTCTCAAAATCTTGTTCAGAAGAACTGCATAGAACTGTACAGTGGCTGCCACAGTTATACTTGACTTAGTTTTGAATTTTCAGCAGAAAAGGAAAAACTGCAGGAGTGGCATTCCTCCTTTCTGGGCAGCTCTGATACTTTGCTGTTTGTTTCCCCCTTATCTGGTGATCTCCAGCCTTTAAGGTGATAAAATGTAGCTCTTGACTAAAGATTGGGGCATCCCTGACACAGATTCAGTATATAGACAGGAAAGATCATTCTTTTTTTTTGAGACACAGCTTCACTCTGTTGCCCAGGCTGGAGTGCAGTGGCACGATCTTGGCTCACTACAACCTCCACCTCTTGTGTTCAAGCGATTCTCATGCCGCAGCCTCCCAAGTAGCTGGGATTACAGACGTGTGTCACCATGCCAGGCTAATTTTTTGTATTTTTAGTAGACACAGGGTTTCACCATTTGGGCCAGGTTAGTCTTCAACTCCTGGGCTCAAGTGATCCACCCGCCTCGGCCTCCCAAAGCGCTGGGATTACAGGCGTGAGCCACTGCGCCCAGCCAGGTGAGATCATTCTTTAAAACACACACAAACTTGAGAAAATAAGCTTATTCTAAAATGTAGTAAAGGCCGGGTGCGGTGGCTCATGCCTGTAATCCCAGCACTTTGGGAGACCAAGGCGGGCGAATCACCTGAGGTCAGGAGTTTGAGACCAGCCTGGCCAACATGGTGAAACCGTCTCTACTAAAAATACAAAAATTAGCCAGGCATGGTGGTACGTGCCTGTAATCCCAGCTACTCGGGAGGCTGACGCAGGAGAATGGCTTGAACCCAGGAGGCGGAGGTTGCAGTGAGCTGAGATTGCACCATTGCACTCCAGCCTGAACAAGAGCAAGGCTCCGTCTAAAGAAAAAAAAATAGCCGGGCGTGGCGGCTCACGCCTGTAATCCCAGCACTGTGGGCGGATCACAAGGTCAGGAGATCAAGACCATCCTGACTAACACAGTGAAACCCCGTCTCTACTAAAAATACAAAACAAATTAGCCAGGCGTGGTGGCGGGCGCCTGTAGTCCCAGCTACTCAGGAGGCTGACGCAGGAGAATGGCGTGAACCCGGGAGGCGGAGCTTGCAGTGAGCCGAGATTGCGCCACCGCACTCCAGCCTGGGCAACAGAGCAAGACTCCGTCTCAAAAAAAAAAAAAAAAAAGTAAAAATATAATATGAAAGGGAGCATCACTCCTCACTCATAAAGCATGAGGTGTGCCGCACAGTGACTTCCTTCTAAAAAGTATGGAAAAGGGAAAATGTAACTTTGTAGTAGAGAAACTTGACAAACACGACTTCAGGTGATCAAAGTCAACATCAACAGTGATAAGTCATGTAGACAGTATGTACCATTGACACCATGTGATACAAATGGCACTTCACCAATGTGATTTTCCTCCCCAAACCCATAACCCCAGTCTAATTATGAGAAAAACATCAGGCTTACAATACACCTTAGGAAACTCCTCAAACATGTCAGACATCAAAATCAAGTAAAGTCTGAGATACCATCACAGCCAGGAGGAGCCTAAGAAGACAGGACAATTAAATGTAGTGTGACAGCCTACATGGGATCCTGGAACAGAAAAAGGGAATTAGGTAAAAACTAAGAAATTGGCCGGGCGCAGTGGCTCATGCCTGTAATCCTAGCACTTTGGGAGGCCGAAGCAGGTGGATCACAAGGTCAGGAGTTCAAGACCAGACTGGCCAAGATGGTAAAACCCCATCTCTACCAGAAATACAAAAATTAGCCAGGCGTGGTGGTGGGTGCCTGGAATCCCAGCTACTCAGGAGGCTGAGGCAGAGAATTGCTTTAACCCTGGAGGCAGAGGTTGCAGTGAGCCAAGGTCACACCACTGCACCCCAGCCTAGGCGACAGAGCTAGACTCCGTCTCAAAAAAAAAAAAAAAAACCTAAGAAATTAACTGTGAAGTTTAGTCGTGTGTGTGTGTGTGTGTGTGTGTGTGTGTGTGTTAAATGAGTTAAAACCATGTGGGGTTTTTTTGTGTTTGTTTGTTTTTTGAGACGAAGTCTCGCTGAGGTGGGAGGATCACTTGAGCCCAGGAGGCTCAGGCTGCAGTGAGCTGTAGTGAGATTGTGCTACTGCACTCCAGCCTGAGTGAGAGAGCAAGACCCTGTCTCAAACATACATAATTTTAGAAATAAAAATTTAAAAAAAAAAGCTTTCACAGTAACCTAGAAGATATGGGTTTGAATTGGCTTGATGAAGGCAGAATGGAAGTGACATATTAGAGATATGTTTTATAGTGACTGCTGAAATATGGGGGATGAATACTAGCTTAGGGTGTTGGGACTAATGGCATTAGCTGATATTAGGAATGCAGGAGAAAGAACATCTTTGAATGGCAAGATAATTGATGTTTTGGACAAGTGCTCAGTAAAGGTAAGTAGCTTTTCTCTCAGAGATACTTTCTACCCCTATATTGTTTCAATTCACCTGTTCTTTGACTTCTTCCTCCTTCTTCCTTACTATGCAGGAAAAACAAACCAGACACAGCTTTTTTTTTTTTTTTTGAGGCAAAGTCTCGCTCTGTCACCCAGGCTGGAGTGCAGTGGCATGATCTTGGCTCACTGTAACCCCCACCTCCTGTGTTCAAACGATTCTCCTCCCTCAGCCTCCCGAGTAGCTGGGACTACAGGCGCGCACCGCCACACCCGACTAATTTTTGTATTTTTAGTAGAGACAGGATTTCATCATATTGGCCAGGCTGGTCTCGAACTCCTGACCTCATGATCCACCTGCCTTGGCCTCCTAAAGTGCTGGGATTACAGGCCTGAGCCAACTTGCCCAGTCCTGGCACAGCTTAATTATATGTTATGATTCATTTTCATCAATAGCCAACTTTATTATCAGTTTCGAAACCTAATCTCCCTGCCTCTAACCTCTCACTTTTCCCATTCTGCATATATGTCTACTATGTAGAATGTCTTTTACATGCATTATCTCATCTTACAAATTGGAACAATTTGTAAGATAAACATTTTCATATCCATTTTATAAATGAAGAAAAGAAGTTTGAGAAAATTGCTCAAAGTCAGACAGTAGGTGAGTGGCAGCACCAGGCCATGAGTCTATCTGACTTCAAAGGCAAGCTCTAGGCAGGGCGGGGTGGCTCACACTTTTAATCCCAGCACTTTGGGAGGCCAAGGCAGGCAGATCACTTGAGATCAGGAGTTCAAGACCAACCTGGCCAACATGGTGAAATCTCATTTCTACTAAAACTACAAAAAAATTAGCTGGGCATGGTGGCAGATGCCTATAATGCAAGCCACTCAGGAGGCTGAGGCAGGAGAATCGTTTGAACCCGAGAGGCGGAGGTTGCAGTGAGCTGACATTGTGCCACTGCACTCCAGCCTGGGTGACAGAGCGAGACTCTGCCTCAAAAAAAAAAAAAAGGCAAGCTCTAGTTCCATTAAAACCATCTTAAGTCCAGCTTGATTTGACTCCAAGCTACCTTTTTGGGCCTGCTTACTGATCATACCCTCTCTCCAGACTCACTGTACTACTTTAAGATCTTTTTTATTATTATTTTTTTTTTAGACAGGGTCCCACTCTCTTGCCCAGGCTGGAGTACAGTGGCATGATCGTGGCTCACTGCAATCTTGACCTTCTGGGCTTAAGTAATCCTGCCACCTCAGCCTACCAAGTAGCTGAGACCATAGGCCCATGCCACCATGCCCAGCTAATTTTTGTATTTTTTGTAGAGACAGAGTTTCATCATGTTGCCCAGGCTGGTCTTGAACTCCTAGGCTCAAGTGATCCACCCACTTCTACCTCCCAAAGTGCTGGGATTACAGACGTGAATTACCACACCCAGCCTTTAATATCTTTAATGGGCTCATGCCTGTAATCCTAATGAGAGGTGACAGCGTGCTGGCAGTCCTCACAGCCCTCACTCGCTCTCGGCGCCTCCTCTGCCTGGACTCCCACTTTGGCGGCACTTGAGCCCTTTAGCCCACCGCTGCACTGTGGGAGCCCCTTTCTGGGCTGGCCGAGGGTGGAGCCGGCTCCCTCAGCTTGCAGGGAGGTGTGGAGGGAGAGGCGCGAGCGGGAACCGGGACTGCGTGCGGCGCTTGCGGACCAGCTGGAGTTCCGGGTGGGCGCGGGCTTGGCGGGCCCCGCACTCGGAGCAGCCGGCCAGCTCTGCCGGCCCGGGGGAATGAGTGACTTAGCACCCGGACCAGCGGCTACGGAGGGTGTACTGGATCCCCCAGCAGTGCCAGCCCACCGGCGCTGCGCTCGATTTCTCGCCGGGCCTTAACTGCCTTCTCACAGGGCAGAGCTCGGGACCTGCAGCCCGCCATGCCTGAGCCTCCCACCCGCTCCATGAGCTGCTATGGGGCCGAGCCTCCCCTACGAGTGCCACCCCCTGCTCCACGGCGCCCAGTCCATTCGACCACCCAAAGGCTGAGGAGTGCGAGCGCAGGGCGCGGGACTGGCAAGCAGCTCCACCTGCAGCTCCGGTGCGGGATCCACTGGGTGAAGCCAGCTGGGATCCTGAGTCTTGTGGGGACGTGGAGAACCTTTATGTCTAGCTCAGGGATTGTAAATACACCAATGGGCACTTTGTATCTAGCTCAAGGTTTGTAAACACACCAATCAGCACCCTGTGTCTAGCTCGAGGTTTGTGAATCCACCAATCGACACTCTGTATCTAGCTGCTCTGGTGGGGCCTTGGAGAACCTTCATGTCTAGCTCAGGGATTGTAAATACACCAATCGGCACTCTGTATCTAGCCCAAGGTTTGTAAACACACCAATCAGCACCCTGTGTCTAGCTCAGGGTTTGTGAGTGCACCAATCAACACTCTGTATCTAGCTACTCTGGTGGGGTCTTGGAGAACCTTTGTGTCCACACTCTGTATCTAGCTAATCTGGTGGGGACCTAGAGAACCTTTGTGTCTAGCTCAGGGATTGTAAACGCACCAATCAGCGCCCTGTCAAAACAGACCACTCGGCTCTACCAATCAGCAGGATGTGAGTGGGGCCAGATAAGAGAATAAAAGCAGGCTGCCCGAGCCAGCAGTGGCGAGCCGCTTGGGTCTTTTTCCACACTGTGGAAGCTTTGTTCTTTTGCTCTCTGCGATAAATGTTGCTGTTGCTCACCCTTTGGATCCATACTGCTTTTTATGAGCTGTAACAGTCACCATGAAGGTCTGCAGCCTCACTGCTGAAGACAGAAAGACCACAAGCCCACCGAGAATGAACGAATAACTTCAGACATGCTACCTTAAGAGCTGTAACACTCACCGTGAAGGTCTGCAGTTTCACTCCTGAGCCAGCGAGACCACGAACCCACCAGAAGGAAGGAACTCCAAACACATCCAAACATCAGAAGGAACAAACTCCAGACATGCCACTTTAGAGAGCTGTAACAATCACTGCAGGGTGTTCTCAGCTTCATTCTTGAAGGCAGTGAGACCAATGAACCCACCAATTCCAGACACACTAACACTTTGCAAGACTGAGCTGGAAAGGATCACTTGAGCCTAGGAGGTCAAGGCTACAGTGAGCTATGATCACAGCACTGCACTCCAGCTCCAGCTGGGGTGACAGAACAAGACCATATCTCTTCAAAAAAAAAAAAAAAAATCCAAACTATGCTTATATAGATCACAAAAACTCACGCTTTTCCAGCAGTTTGAATCCTCTCCGTCCTAAGCCAAGATCCTCTTCATCCTTCAAGGCCTAGCTAAAAAGCCAACTACTCAAAATAGCTTTCCCTCTTCATTTTTCTTCAGTATTTGGATTTCCTCTCAAAAGTTTTTTTATTTTCCGTTGCAGTTGTTTTCATGTTTAGCTTAACCAATTAAACTCAGTTCCTTTTCCATACTTCACTAACCTTTCTTTGCCCCAAATTAAGTACAGGGTTTTTGCATATGAAAAATTCTTAAGATGTATGTCAAATTTTAATGTTTTCAAGTTTAAAGATAGCTGGTGTGGGTTTAACTTAGTTTATGCTACCAGTTTGCTCATTTTAATTAAAGAGTGAATTAGTTAATAGAAGGAAGATCCCAAAAATGCAACGATACAATGTCTTCTCATCAGTCAATTAATGAAAGCATAAAATCAAGATAGAAATGAATATGTGCACTCTCAAATTAGGCATCGTTCCCAAACAGTTGTAATCACTTGATAGGCAATTTTTTCTCTCTGTGCCATAGATCAGTGACCCCAAGGAAAGTTGCCTAATCCAGGGGATGTATAAGATCATAAGATCATTCACTGGGATTTGGAAAGAAAATATTAGGTTTTCTCACTCTGTTTTGCCTCAATGATTTGTTTATATCCTTTACATGTACCATAATTATAATTATAGTAGCTTTACAGCGTATTTTAAAAGTTGTTAAGGTAAGTCTCCCCCTTTTTTTTTTTTTTTGAGACAGCGTTTCACTCTGTCACCCAGGCTGGCACAAGGCTTACTGCATCCTCGACCTCCTAGGCTCAAGCAATCCTCCCACCTCAGCCTCCCAGGTAGCTGGGACTACAGGTGCATACCACCACACCAAGCTAATTTTTGTATTTTTGTAGAGAAAGTTTCTCACTATGTTACCCAGGCTCATCTCAAACTCCTGGGCTCAGGTGATCCTCCTGCCTCGGCCTCCCAAAGTGCTGGGATTACAAGCTCAAGCCCACCACACCTGGCCTTCACTATTCTTTTTTTAAAATGTCTTAACAATTTTCATAATCACTTTTTTTTTTTTTTTTTTTTTTTTGAGATGAGCATCTTCCTATGTTGCCCAGGATGGACTCAAACTCCTGGCCTGAAGCAATCCTCCAGTCTCAGCCTCCTGAATAGCTGGGACTATAGGTGTGTACCAACCTGCCCAGCTTCATATGGTCACATTTTAAAATTAAATTTAAAATCATTTGTGGCCAGGTGCGGTGGCTCACGCCTGTAATTCCAGCACTTTGGGAGACCGAGGTGGGTGGATCACCTGAGGTCGAGAGTTCAAGACCAGTCTGACCAACATGGTGAAACCCTATCTCTACTAAAAATACAAAAAATTATCTGGGCCTGGTGGTGGTTGCCTGTAATCCCAGCTACTCGGAAGGCTGAGGCAGGAGAATTGCTTGAACCCAGGAGGTGGACAGTGCAGTGAGCTATTACTCCAGCCTGGGCAACAAGAGCGAAATTCTGACTCAAAAAAATAAATAAATAAATAAATAAATAAATAAAAATCATTTGGTGTAGAACGTAGTGAGGGGAATATTGTCTCTGCTCAGAAACATGTTTTAATGAGCTAGTTGAGATGGAAAGATGAAGCTCACCAGGGTTCACTGGGGCAAGCCAGTTTTTAGACATTATAAGATGACCACATGGAAAGTGACATTAGCAGATGGCCCCTAGTGCTTGTTCCTCCTACAAAGATAGCCAGAACAACAAATAAACAATGACTTTTTTTTTTTGAGACAGAGTCTTGCTCTGTTGCCCAGACTGGAGTGCAGTGGCGCGATCTTGGTTCACTGCAACCTCTGCCTCCTGGGTTCATGATGGGGTTTCACCATGTTGGCCAGGCTGGTCTCGAACTCCTGACCTCAGGTGATCCGCCTGCCTCGGCCTCAAAGTGCTGGGATTACAGGAGTGAGCCGCCGCACCTGGCCAACAACGACATTTTAATGAAAATAACTGAGAGACTGCTGGAGTGCACCACAGGAGTAACAGAATCCCAGGATGACCACATAGAGAATGGAAGGAAATGCCAGGACTCCACTATTCTGTCCCCTAATTGGGATCAGCTGAGAACCAGCTTCTCCCTTCAGCAAAGAGGTAAACAAGGGGATCCTAGCAACTCCCATCAACTTTAGACACCTACAAACCTCACCACTGTCCTCTGCAGTCCTCATAGGCACTAAGCCCAGCTGAGGAAGCTGCCTGGAGTCCACACAGCTGTGCTGCCCCAAAAGAAGGAGCCAGCACTGGCCACTCCCCCGCCCTGATCCACATGCTGCTGAATTGGAACTATGGCTGGGGTGTGACTTGCTCTGTGGGCAAGTGGTTACAGATCCCCATTCATCCCTGAAGCTAAATTGCCTTTGAACCTCCCAGCCTGGTGTCCCAACATCCCCAAGCTGAAATGCGAGCAGCAGTTACACCCTTCTCCATGGGGCCAGGCAGAGGTGAAGCGACGCCACCTACCCCTCCCGTTTCCTCCTCAGGCCAGAGCTAAAGCAGTTTCCTGTTTCTGGCCAGGCGCGGTGGCTCACGCCTGCAATCCCAGCACTTTGGGAAGCCGAGGCAGGTGGATCGCCTTACCTCAGGAGTTTGAGACCACCCTGGGCAACATGGTGAAATCCCATCTCTACTAAAATACAAAAAATTAGCCGGGCGTGGTGGCACGCACCTGTAATCCCAGCAACTCGGGAGGCTGAGGCACGAGAATCGCTTGAACCCAGGAGGCAGAGGTTGCAGGGAGCCGAGATTGTGCCACTGCACTCCAGCTTGGGCTACAGAGTGAGACTCAGTCTCAAAATAAAATAAAATAAAAATAAAGCAGTATCCTGTTTCACAGGAAAACAGTATCTTGGCTGCTCAGAGCAGTCATGTCTCCTCAGTGCCTAAGTTCATGCAGCAGCTGGCATCCCGGGTAATGAATGGTGTATTGGCCACCCAGAACGATCATGCACCCCAATACCTAAGCTGAAGCAATTGTCTGCATTCCAAGGAAATAGTACCTAGGCTGCCCAGAACAGTCATGCTCCCAGGCCTAAGCTGAACTGGCACATTGCCCCACCAAGGAATCGGTGTCCTGGCCAATCTCAGCAGCTGTGCATCTCTAGGCTGAGATGAGGTAGGACCCTGCATCCCAGGGAAACAGAACAGTGGCTGAGCTGAGACACCCTACCCTACAAGCCAAACAACTCCAGCACTCTGCTTCCCTGGGGCTGGAATATCCCCCTAGAGCCTGAGCTGCTGAGACACCCTCTCCCTGGAGAATAAAATCATTGCTATGCTGTTTCCTGCCCCAACCCACGTCCCAGATGACAGCTGTGCTCCATTATTCTGGGGTACTTGCTACCACTGCACCTGCTCTCACAGAGGCTGGGATACTGCCAAGCCCCACCACCCCAGGGTCTAGAGTCACCACTACACAGTGGCTCATCCCCTGGGACCTCAGTTCCCACTGAGCTCTATTGGCTCAGGTTCCTGAATCGCAGCTATACCCTGATCCCCAGACCCAAACCTCTAGAGCACCCCTTCATTGCCAGAGTCAGGTTAGTGCTCTGCCTTGTCCCCCATCCCCACTAGAGTTAGAATCACAGTTATAAAATGCAGTCCTTGGGGCCCAAGCCCCTAGTGGGGTGCCTCAGGGTTGCAGATCCTAGCTCTGGGTAACCTACATCTAAACTTCCCACAGAGAGCAAAGCTGCATCCCAAGACCCGAATGCCATAATAGGCTTGAGAGACCCTGAGACTAGGACCCTCACCCCACAGCCACTCCAAGCACCTGAACATGGAACTCACAGGATATTAACAACCTACACTGCTGCCACCACTGCCACAAACAGCCTAGGCCACCAAGGTGCCCGTGTTTTTTTATTGGTGACATTCAATGCAGCTGAAGAAGCTGCACAGACTATACCACTGCACGTATCTGGAAACAGAGTCACTACATCTTCCCAACTGGCACACTAAACTCAACTAGAGGTGAAAGTCTTTTACTGCAAAATCCACTCCAGAAAGTTTGGAAGAGGCAGCCAGGCATGATGGCTCACACCTGTAATCCCGGCACTTTGGGAGTCCGAGGCAGGCAGATCACTTGAGGCAGGGAGTTCAAGGCCAGCCTAGCCAACATGGCGAAACCTGTTTCTACTAAAAAATACCAAAAAATAATTAGCCAGCCGCAGTGGTGAGCACCTGTAATCCCAGCTACTCGGGAGGCTGAGGCAGGAGAATCCCAGCTACTCAGGAGGCTGAAGCAGGAGAATGGCTTGAACCCAGGAGGCAGAAGTTGCAGTGAGCTGAGATCACGCCATTGCACTCCAGCCTGGGTGACAGAAAGACTCTGTCTCAAAAAAAAAAAAAAAAAAAAATTTAGCCGGGTGTGGTGGCACATGCCTGCAGTGCCAGCTACTCGAGAAGCTGAGGCACAACAGTCACTCGAAACTGGGAGGCTGGGCAACAGAGTGAGATTTTGTCTCAAAAAAAAAAAAAAAAGTTTGGAAGAGGCAATTGTCTTACCGGGTGCATAGACATCAACACAGACGCACAAGAAACATGATAAAGCAAGGAAATATGACACCACCAAAGGAACATAATAACTGTATAGTAACAGACCCCAGTAAAAAGGAAATCAAAAAATTGCTGGAAAAAGAGTTGAAAATAATGATCTGAAGGAAACTCAGTGAGATACAAAACATACAGCTAGATAATTTAACAAAATCAGAAAAACAATTCACAATATGGCTGAGAAATTCAACAAAAATAGAAATAATTTTAAAAGAACCAAACATTTAAAACACACAATTCTGAGTTTATTTGCTTGCCTGCCAGACAAACGAACACACAACATAGACAAAATTTATTAAATAGTTAACTGGAAGGTCAGAGTGGAAGATCAAGGGGCTCTATCCATTAGAAAGGGGGCTTCAAGGCGGTTATACTAATGATTGAAAACTCCCTTTGCAAATAAAACAGAATGAGTCCATAAGTCTAAACATGATTGGCTAAATCCAGTCCATTGGTCAGAAAGTAGTCTGTAGTTTGGTCCAATAATATTTTGTACATACCAGATTACTCAAAATTCTAATTGTAGGATGTTAGTTTGCTGAAAGTTTATGGTTGTTTAATGACTTTACCTGGTTGAAAACAGTTTTTGATGAAACCCAGCACTCAATTTTGACCTCTCCTAGGTATATGTAGCTGTAAGTGGAAATTGTTCCTTTTATAGGTATGATAATGTGATTTATGCCATGTGGAATTTGTGTATATGTGTGTGGGACACACCTGATTTAGCTTGGAGAAGGGTATATATTGGTAAGGGAAAATGAATGACATTACAAATATAGCACTCTCAACAAGTAAAATTTATCAAATGCTAAAGACAAGAACTGGGCTTTAGAGTAGGGAAGACATTGTTTTGCCTTGTAATTTAGCCACCAGTTACCTGGACATATTCATGTAAATCTGTTTTTTCATATAAAGCAGGGACAATATCAGTCTTACCAGTTAATGGGCAGATTAAATAAGATAATGTATATAAACCAACTCCTTCAGTGGCCTAACTCTCTTTATGGAATGAGCATCAAATAGCTGATTGTTTTCCTCTGCTGCAAACCGCTGCCCACATGTACCCCATATATGAGTGCCTCCACTGTCCCTCCATACCCTTCTGAACTCTTTGCCTCTTTCTAAGAATGTTCCCTCCACATTTGCACCACTCCCACTTTTCATGTGTATTCCTTTTTATTTCTCCTTTCTCCCCTCAATATTTAACATACGATTTGCAGGTCCAAAAGTAGCCTTTATTCATATTCTTCATAATAAATTAGATTCCATTATAACTTTTTTTTTTTAAAAAAAGAACCAAACAAATCCTGCAGCTGAAGAATTCAAAAAGGTTCTCATTGAGGCACATTATAGTTGAATTGTCAAAAGTCAAAGAAAAAGAGAATCCTAAAAACAGCAAGAGAAAACTGTCAAGTCACATATAAGGGGATTCCTATTAGACTAACATCAGATTTTTCCACTGAAACCTTACAGGCCATGAGAGAATGGGATGATATATTCAAAGTGCTGAACAAAAAATCTGCCAGTCAAGAATACGACACCTAGTATTTGAGAAATGAGGGAGAAATAAAGTCTTTCCCAGGCAAGCAAAAACTGAGGAAATGTATCACCAATGGAGCAGCCTTACAAGAAATGCTCAAGGGATTGCAACATCTGAAAGTGAAAAGATGATAATCACTGTCATGAAAACACACAAGTATAAAACTCACTGCTAGGCAGATACACAAAAAAGAAAGCAAAGAATCAAACCTTATTACTACAGAGAACAACCAAATCACAATGATACACAATAAGAAAGGAAGAAAGGAACAATGGATATACGAAAACAATCAGAAAACAATTAACAAAATGACAGAAGTAAGTCCTAACCTATCAATAATAACCTTGAATCCTTGAATGTAAATGGATTGAACTCCTTCTTAAAAGATAAAGCCTGAGGGTCTGAGTGCAGAGGTGTTTACAACTTACTGAACATAACCAGTTACAGATTTCTTTGTTCCTTCTCCACTCCCACTGTTTCACTTGACTAGCCTTAAAAAATACATGTGAATGTTTCGAAAAGATACGAACTGACTGAATAGATTTTTAAAACCCATGACCCAAGCTGGGAGCGGTGGCTCTCACCTGTAATCCTAGCATTTTGGGAGGCCAAGGCAGGTGGACCACTTGAGGTCAGGAGTCTGAGACCAGCCTAGCCAACATGGTAAAACCCTGTCTCTACCAAAAATACAAAAAAATTAGCCGAGTGTGGTGGTAGGTGCCTGTAGTCCCAGCTACTCAGGAGGCTGAGGCAGGAGAATAGCTTGAACCTGGGAGGTGAAGGTTGCAGTGAGCCAAGATGGCACCACTGGGAGACAGAGCAAGACTCTGTCAAAAAACAAAAAAACCCATGACCCAATTACATGCTGCCTGTAAGAAGCTCACTTCACTGTAAAAACACATATTAAACAGAAAGTGAATGGGTGGAAAGGATATTTCATGCATTCTTGGCACGTTGGCTCATGCCTATAATCCCAGCACTTTGGGAGGCTGAAGTGGGAGGATCACCTGAGCCCAGGAGTTTGAGACCAGCCTGGGCAATAGAGCAAGACCCTGTCTCAACGAAAAATTTAAACATTAACTGGACATGATGGTGCACACCTGTAGTCCCAGTTACTTGGGAGGCTGAGGCAGGAGGATCATTTAAGCCCAGAAGTTCAGAGATGCAGTAAGTCATGATCACACCACAGCACTCCAGCCTGGGTGACAGAGCGAGACCCCATCTCACAAAATAAATAATTAAAAAGATATTCCATGCAAACAAAAACAAAAAGTGACTGGGAGTAGCTGTACTTACATGAAATAAAACAGACTTTAATTCAAAAACGATAAAAAAAGACAAAGAAAGTGATTATATAATGATAAAAGGATCAATTTAGCAAGAGGATATAACAATTATAAATACATGCTTTAGCTCTCCCTCTCCCCTCTCCCCTCTCCCTCTCCCCGCTCTCCCTCTCCCCACGGTCTCCCTCTCCCTCTCTTTCCACGGTCTCCCACTGACGCCGAGCCGAAGCTGGACTGTACTGCTGCCATCTCGGCTCACTGCAGCCTCCCTGCCTGATTCTCCTGCCTCAGCCTGCCGAGTGCCTGCGATTGCA
Source organism: Homo sapiens (assembly GCF_000001405.40). NCBI lineage: Eukaryota > Metazoa > Chordata > Mammalia > Primates > Hominidae > Homo > Homo sapiens. The sequence goes on along the minus strand of NC_000006.12, from coordinate 17,736,353 downwards.
GGCGTGCGCCACCACGCCTGACTGGTTTTCGTATTTTTTTGGTGGAGACGGGGTTTCGCTGTGTTGGCTGGGCTGGTCTCCAGCTCCGAACTGCGAGTGATCCGCCAGCCTCGGCCTCCCGAGGTGCCGGGTTTGCAGACGGAGTCTGGTTCACTAAGTGCTCAATGGTGCCCAGGCTGGAGTGCAGTGACGTGATCTCGGCTCGCTACAACCTCCACCTCCCAGCCGCCTGCCTTGGCCTCCCAAAGTGCCAAGATTGCAGCCTCTGCCCGGCCGCCACCCCGTCTGGGAAGTGAGGAGCGTCTCTGCCTGGCCGCCCATCGTCTGGGACGTGAGGAGCCCCTCTGCCTGGCTACCCAGTCTGGAAAGTGAGGAGCGTCTCTGCCCGGCCGCCATCCCATCTAGGAAGTGAGGAGCGCCTCTTCCTGGCCGCCATCCCATCTAGGAAGTGAGGAGCGTCTCTGCCCGGCTGCCCATCATCTAAGATGTGGGGAGCGCCTCTGCCCCGCCACCCCGTCTGGGATGTGAGGAGCGCCTCTACCCGGCCGCGACCCCGTCTGGGAGGTGAGGAGCGTCTCTGCCCAGCCACCCCGTCTGAGAAGTCAGGAGACCCTCCGCCTGGCAACCGCCCCATATGAGAAGTGAGGAGCCCCTCCACCCGGCAGCCACCCCATCTGGGAAGTGAGGAGCGTCTCTGCCAGGCAGCCACCCCATCCGGGAGGGAGGTGGGGGTCAGCCCCCGCCAGGCCAGCCACCCCGTCCAGGAGGGAGGTGGGGGGGTCAGCCCCCCGCCCGGCCAGCCGCACCATCCGGGAGGGAGGTGGGGGGGTCAGCCCCCCACCCAGCCGCCCCGGCCGCCCCTACTGGGAAGTGAGGATCCCCTCTGCCCGGCCAGCCGCCCCGTCCGGGAGGGAGGTGGGGGGGGTCAGCCCCCCGCCCGGCCAGCCGCCCCGTCCGGGAGGTGAGGGGCGCCTCTGCCCGGCCGCCCCTACTGGGAAGTGAGGAGCCCCTCTGCCCGGCCAGCCGCCCCATCCGGGAGGAAGGTGGGGGGGTCAGCCCCCCGCCCGGCGAGCCGCCCGGTCCGGAGGTGAGGGGCGCCTCTGCCCGGCTGCCCCTACTGGGAAGTGATGAGCCCCTCTGCCCAGCCACCACCCCGTCTGGGAGGTGTACCCAACAGCTCATTGAGAACGGGCCATGATGACAATGGCGGTTTTGTGGAATAGAAAGGGGGGAAAGACGGGGAAAGGATTGAGAAATCGGATGGTTGCCATGTCTGTGTAGAAAGAGGTAGACACGGGAGACTTTTCATTTTGTTCTGTACTAAGAAAAATTCTTCTGCCTCGTGATCCTGTTGATCGGTGACCCTACCCCCAACCCTGTGCTCTCTGAAACATGTGCTGTGTCCACTCAGGGTTAAATGGATTAAGGGTGGTGCAAGATGTGCTTTGTTAAACAGATGCTTGAAGGCAGCATGCTCGTTAACAGTCATCACCACTCCCTAATCTCAAGTACCCAGGGACACAAACACTGTGGAAGGCCACAGGGTCCTCTGCATAGGAAAACCAGAGACCTTTGTTCACTTGTTTATCTGCTGACCCTCCCTCCACTATTGTCCTATGACCCTGCCAAATCCCCCTCTGTGAGAAACACCCAAGAATGATCAATTAAAAAAAAAAATTATAAATACATATGCACCCAACACTGGAGTATGAAGATACATAAACCAAGTACTAGAGCTAAAGAGAGATAGGCGGCTGGGTGCGGTGGCTCATGCTTGTAATCCCAGCACTTTGTGAGGCCAAGTCGGGCGTATCACCTGAGGTTGAGAGTTCGAGACCAGCCTGACCAACATGGAGAAACCCCGTCTCTACTAGAAATACAAAATTAGCTGGGCGTGGTGGCGCATGCCTGTAATTCTAGCTACTCGAGAGGCTGAGGCATAAGAATCACTTGAACCTCGGAGGCAGAGGTTGTGGTGAGCTGAGATCATGCCATTGCACTCCAGCCTGGGCAACAAGAGTGAAACTCCATCTCAAAAAAAAAAAAAGAGAAGTAGGCTGACTCCAATACAAGTAGTTGGGGATCTCAATGTCCCACTCTCGGCATTGGACACATCATCTAGACAGAAAATAAAAAAAGAAAAACTGGGCCAGGCATGGTGGCTCACGCCTGTAATCCCAGCACCTTGGGAGGCTGAGGCAGGAGGATCACGAGGTCAGGAGATCGAGACCATCCTGGCTAACACGGTGAAACCCTGTCTCTACTAAAAATACAAAAAAAAAAAAAAAAGAAAAACTGGACTTCTAACCAAATGGACCTAACAGCTATTTACACAACATTTCCTCTAAGAGCTGCAGAATACACATTATTTTTGTCTTTTACCTAGTTCTTAGTAAGTGTGCAATATTTTCATCAGCACATGGAACATATTCCAGCACAGACCACGTTAGGCCACAAGTCTCTACAAACTTAAAAGAATTGAAATCATATCAAATACCTTTTCTGCCAATAATGGAATAAAGCTAGAAATCAATAATGAACTTTTGAAATTGTACAAATACAAGGAAGTTAAGTAACATGTTTCTGGTCAGGTGCGGTGGCTCACACCTGTAATCCCAGGACTTTGGGAAGCCAAGGTGGGTGGATTATCTGAGGTCAGGAGGTCAAGACGAGCCTGGCCAACATGGTGAAACCCCATCTCTACTAAAAAAATACAAAAATTAGCTGGGCGTGGTGGCAGGTGCCTATAATCCCAGCAAGGAAGGCTCCCAGCGAGGGAGGCTGAGACAGGAGAATTGCTTGAACCTGGGAGGCAGAGGTTGCAGTGAGCCAAAATCACTCCATTGCACTCTAGCCTGGGCAACAAGAGTGAAACTCCATCTCAAAAAATAAAATAATCTAATGATGCATCTCAAGGAACTAGAAAAGCAAGAACATTCACAGAGAAAGCCCTGCTGAAAATGAGTTCATGATTTAAAAAATTACAAATCAACAAAGTAAACAGAAGAATCAGCAAAGACAAAAACAGCAAAATTAGATTACTAAGATTTAAGATACACAACTCTTAGATAGGCACTATCAAATAACTATCTTTTAAATAATTAGACATTTTAAAAGACTTGAAAAGGAAATAAAATAATATAAAAAAGAAGAGGAATATTGGGAAAAGACCCAAGAATCTGAAGAAATGAAAGCTACATTTATGCAAATTAAAAACTCAATGAATCCGGGCATGGTGGCTCCTGCCTGTAATCCCAGCACTTTGGAAGGCCAAAGTTGGAGGATCACTAGAGCCCAGGAGTTTGAGACCAGCCTGGGCAACATGGGAAGACTCCATCTCTACAAATAATTTAAAAATTAGCTGGGCATAATGGTAAGTGTCTGTGATTGGGAGGCTGAGGCAGGAGGATTGCCTGAGCCCAGGAGGTTGAAGCTGCAGTGAGCTATGATTACACCTGCACTCCAACCTGGGCAACAGAACCAGACTCTGTCTCAAACAAACGCACTCTCAATAAATGTGTTAACAGCAGAGAAGACATTGAGGAAGAAAGACGGGTAAAGGTGGAAGAGATTTTTTTAAAAAGTATTGCACAGAGAGATGAAGAAAAGAGATAAATATGGAAGAGCAACAGAGATGAAGGACAGAATGAGAAGACCAATTATAAATCAATATGAGTATCAAAGGAAAACAAGCATGCAAGAATGGGGAAGGCAAAGGGAGAAGATTCAATTGCTGAACATTTTTCAGAACTGATGAAGGACATGAGTTCTCAGATTCAGGAGGTACAATAAGTCTCTTGACACATACATTCAAAAGTCTATAATTAGACATGTTACATGAAACTGCAGAACACCAAAGATAAATAAAATATCTTAAAAGCATTCAGATAAAATAGATATTAGTTACAAATTAATGACAATTGCTAGGCATGGTGGCTAAATGCCTATGTAATCCCAGCACTTTGGGAGGGTGAGGTGGGCAGACCAGTTGAGGTCAGGAGTTCGAGACCAGCCTGGCCAAAATGGTGAAAACCCATCTGTACTAAAAAATAATAATAATAAGGGCTGGGCGTGGTGGCTCACGCCTGTAATCCCAGCACTTTGGGAGGCCGAGGCGGGCAGATCACAAGGTCAGGAGATCGAGACCATCCTGGCTAACATGGTGAAACCCCGTCTCTACTAAAAGTACAAAAAATTAGCCGGCCATGGTGGCGGGTGCCTGTAGTCCAAGCTACTCGGGAGGCTGAGGCAGGAGAATAGCGTGAATCCAGGAGGCGGAGCTTGTAGTGAGCAGAGATCATGACACTGCACTCCAGCCTGGGCAACAGAGCAAGACTCCGTCTCAAAATAATAATAATAATTATTATTATTATTATTAATAATAAATAGGCCAGGCACGGTGGCTCACACTTGTAATCCCAGCACTTTGGGAGGCCAAGGCGGGCAGATCACGAGGTCAGGTGATCAAGACCACGGTGAAACCCTGTCTCTACTAAAAATACAAAAAATTAGCCCGGCGTGGCAGGCGCCTGTCGTCCCAGCTACTTGGAGAGGCTGAGGCAGGAGAACGGTGTGAACATGGGAGGTGGATCTTGCAGTGAGCTGAGATTGCGCCACTGCACTCCAGCCTGGGTGACAGAGTGAGACTCCGTCTCAAAAAAAATAAAAATAAAAAATTAATAAAGAAATGAGGCCAGACACAGTGGCTCATGCCTGTAATCCCAGCATGTTGGGAGGTCGAGTTGGGTGGATCACCTGAGGCCAGGAGTTCGAGACCAGCCTGGCCAATATGGTGAACCCCATCTCTACTAAAAATACAAAAATTAGCCAGGCATGGTGGTGTGCACCTGTAACCCCAGCTACTTGGAAGACTGAGGCAGAAGAATCACTTGAACCTGGGAGGCAGAAGTTGCAGTGAGCCAAGATCGTGCCACTGCGCTCCAGCCTGGGTGACAGAGCAAAACTCCATCTCAAAAAAAAAAAAAAAAAAAGACACAAATGAAAAAGAATTGACAATCGGATTGACAGCAGACTTTTCAAACATACCAATAGAAATCAAAAGATAAAGGAACAGCTTCAAAATTCTGAGAGAAAATGCCAACCTATACTTCAGTTTCTACTAGTCGACAATTCATGAAAAGGTCAAATAATAGTTTAGGCAAAGACTGAAGGAATTTATCATTTATAGGTGATCCTATTAAAATAACTATTTAAGGGACCAGGTGCAGTGGCTTATGCTTGTAATCCCAGCACTTTGGGAAGCTGAGCTTGGAGGATCACTTGAGGCCAGGAGTTTGAGGCTGCAGCGAGCTGTGATTGTGCCATCACACTCCAGCCTGGGCAATAAGGTGAGACTCTCTAAAAAATAAATAAATACAAATAAATAAATGAAAGAACTATTTAATGAAGCACTTTAAGAAGGAGGAAATTAATCACTTCTTGGCCTTTTGGCTAGGATCAAGTGTAGTATCTGTTCTGATCAGTTTAATGTCTGGAAGGAAAAGAAAGAAATCCAGAAGGAAGGAAGAAGAATCAAGAAAGAGTAGTGAGCAAAGGAATTGGTCAATATGTGGGTATCAATATGTGGGTAAATCAAAACAAGCATCAACAAAATAACAAAACAAAACGTGATAGTGTGAAAACAAAGAACTAAAATATGGTCAATGGTAAGAGGAGTCATTGGCGTGAAAAGCATTCTTAAGCTCTTGTATTGTACAGAAGTCTCCCTTTATCCGTGGGAGATATGTTCCAAGCCCCCCAGAGGATGCCTGAAACCACAAATAGTATTAAATCCTATATACACAGTATGTCAGCCAATCTGAGAGAGACAGCTACTAAGTGACTAACAGGCAGTGCATGAGGGAGGGGAAGTAGGTGTGGGAAGTTGCAGTGTTCTAGGTGTGCAGATCCCATTCCACGTTCAATTAGAAGGTGTTCACTTATTTTTGTACATTTATTCACTGTACTAAGCAGATACTCTGAACCAGACCCCACGGGTTCAATGCTCTGGAAAATAAACCTCTGGACTCCTATGAAGATGAGGAGAGAGGTACATACCTACTAATCCCCAGTTCTCCTCTCCCACCCTGGCTGCCTAAGGTAGGAGAGAAGAACTGGGAATCAGTAGGTGTGTACCCAGACTCCGAACCCATCTCCTTGTTTTCAGCCATGGGCCTCTCTCCAGCTTCCCATTGTACCAAGAACCTCGAGGTTCTCTTTACATCTCAAATACCTTCTCCTGGTCTTTAGTCTGTAATGTTCTCTGCCCTGCTAAATGAGGTTCTCTTTTCTATTTGCTTTCCCTCTCCCAAAAAAATTTCGTCAGCCAGGCACTGTGACTCATGTCTGTAATACCAGCACTTTGGGAGGCTGAGAATGGGCAGATTACAAGTTCAAGAGATCAAGATCAGCCTGGCTAACATGGTGAAAACTCTACTAAAAATACAAAAAACTAGCTCAATGTGGTGGCGTGCACGCCTGTAAGTCTTAGCTACTCGGAAGGCTAAGGCAAGAGAATCACTTAGAACCTGATGTGTCCCTAATTTGTTGTTTCTTGATCTCACTGACTTGAAAAATGAAGCTGCGGATGATGACTATTAAACTACTACTAAAGATGACATATTTACAGTTTTACCCTTCTGGTAGGTTCACGGCCTTGCTGACTCAACAATGAAACGACAAACCTTTGCATTCAATGATGTAACTCACAAAGGGAGCAGCAACAAGTTTTAACGTAAAGAACAAAAAAACACAAAGCCCTCATAACACAGAAAGCAACCCAACCAGATTACCACTGCTGACTCCGGCAGCCTGCTTTTATTCCTTTATCTGGCCCCACCCGCATCCTGCTGATTGGTCCATTTTACAGAGAACTGATTGGTCTGTTTTACAGATAGTTGATTGGTCCATTTTGACAGGGTGCTGATTGGTGTGTTTACAATCCCTGAGCTAGACACAAACGTTCTCCAAGTCCCCACAGCGCACTGATTGGTGCATTTACAAACCTTGAGCTAGATACAGAGTGCTGATTGGTGCATTTACAAACCCTGAGATAGACACAGAGTGCTGATTGGTGTATTTGCAATCCCTTAGCTAGACATAAAGGTTTTCCATTTCCAAGTCTCCACTAAACTCAGGACCTCAACTGGCTTCACCAAGTGGATCTCATACTGGAGCTACAGGTGGACTTGCTTGCCAGTCTCCCGCAGTGCGCCGGCACTTCTCAGCCCTTGGGCAGTCCACGGGACCAGGCGCCGCGCAGCAGGGGGCGGCGCTTGTCGGGGAGGCTCGGGCCGCGCAGGAGCCGGCGGTGGTGGCGGCGGGGGTAGGCTGGGGCATGGCAGGCTGCAGGTCTGGAGGTCTGCCCCGCCGGTAGGCAGCTGAGGCCCGGGGAGAATTCAAGCGCAGCCCCGGTGGACCGGCACTGCTTGGGGACCTGGCACACCTTCCGCAGCTGCTAAGCCTCTTACTGCCCAGGGCCTGTGGCGTGGGGCGACCGCTCCGAGTGCGGAGCCCGCCGAGCCCACGCCCACCCGGAACTCGCGCTGGCCCCCGAGCGCCGCGCACAGCCCCAGTTCCCCGCGGCGCCTCTCCCTCCACACCTCCTTGCAAGCAGAGGGAGCTAACTCTGGCCTTGGCCAGCCCAGAGGGGGGGCCCCATAGTGCAGTGGCAAGCTGAAGGAGCTCCTCAAGCGTGGCCAGAGTGGGCGCCGAGGCCGAGGAGGCGCCAAGAGTGAGGGCTGCCAGCAGGCTGTCACTTCTCACTGGGAGGCTGAGGTTGTAAAGAGCCGAGATCGTGCTACTGCACTCCAGCCTGGGCGACAGAGTGAGACTCCGTATCACCAAAAAAAAAAAAAAAAAAAAAAAAAGGCCGGGCGCGCTGGCTCACGCCTGTAATCCCAGCACTTTGGGAGGCCAAGGCGGGCGGATCACGAGGTCTGGAGATTGAGACCATCCCGGCTAACACAGTGAAACCCCGTTTCTACTAAAAATACAAAAATTAGCCGGGCGTGGTGGCGGGCGCCTGTAGTCCCAGCTACTCAGGAAGCTGAGGCAGGAGAATCGCTTGAACCCGGGAGGCAGAGCTTGCAGTGAGCCGAGATGGCACCACTGCACTCTAGCCTGGGCGACAGAGCAAGACTCTGTCTCAAAAAAAAACAAAAACAAAACAAAACAAATTGTCCGCTGTTGTCATCTTTTCCTTCCTTTTTACCTATTGGTTTAATACCTTTATTTACTTGCTATCACATACATGGTTTTGGAGGGGAAAGGATACAAAAGTGTGTGATTAATATGCCATGTTTCATCAGAGGCCGGTAACCCAACTCTATGCCACACCTCCCACTCAAACCCTAGGAACACTTGAAAGCCCACTGCAAATAATTTGAAGCATTGTCATATGGAAGAGGATTTGAATCCTATGTGACTTCAAGTGCATAGATCAATGAATGAAAGCTCTGGTGGGAAAAACTAAAATTAACTTTCACAGCATAAATTTGGAAACAATCAGAGCGGTTCCAGAAGGTCAGAGATCATAGGAACTCTAGTAACCTTTTCTTCTCACTTATTTTGTTCAAGTAATCCCCTTCAGCTATTTTTGGGCCTAGGTAAAAATGCGAGTGTTAATTGACTAACTTTTTTTTACATAGGACTGTCAGTGTCTCCTGGTCAATTAAGCTCAGGATCAAAGGCCAGTATAAAGGCTCTCCCTTGAAGTACATGTAAAATTTGAGCAGAGCTAATTGGAATTAAGTGGGCATTTAGATATCCAGTTTATCTTGCTTAGGGGCATGGGAGGCAGTATATTTAATGACTTTTGGGTAAGAAAGAACTCGATTCAAAACCCAGCTCTAGTCCCGGGCACGATGGCTCACGCCTGTAATCCCAGCACTTTGGGAGGCCGAGGCGGGCGGATCACAAAGTCAGGAGGAGATTGAGACCATCCTGGCCAACACGGTGAAACCCCGTTTCTACTAAAAATACAAAAAAAAAAAAAATTAGCCGGGCCTGGTAGCGGGCGCCTGTAGTCCCAGCTACTCACGAGGCTGAGGCAGGAGAATGGCGTGAACCCGGGAGGCAGAGCTTGCAGTGAGCTGAGATCGGGCCCCTGCACTCCAGCCTGGGCAACAGAGTGCGACTCCATCTCAAAAAGAAACCCTACCTCTAATACTTGACACCTAGGTGAACTTGGGCAAGTTAATCTTTTTAACAAATGTATTTTAATTTTTAAATTTTTATTTTTTGTAGAGATGAGATGGTCTCACTATCTTGCCCAGGCCGGTCTTGAACTCCTGGCCTCACACAACGCTCCCACCTTCACCTCCCAAAGTGCTGGGATTACAAGCGTGAGCCACTGCACCTGGCCTATTTAACCTTTCTAAGCCCTAATTTCCTTATCTGTAAAATGGGAGGAAAAAAATGAAAACAAAAAAAGAAGAAAAATGGGAGCAATAGTACATACTATTTTATAGGATGATTGTGAAAATTGAATGAGATGCTACATATAAGGTGTCTGATATTGAACCTGGTGTATTACAAAATTTCAGTGTCTGTCAGTTCCCTTTTGTCCTTTCTGCATCTGTGTCATCCTAGTGCTGTCAATGAAAGAGAAATAGGAGAAGTACTTTATTAATATTATTATTTTTTGAGATGGAGCACTCTGTCGCCCAGGCTGGAGTGCAATGGTGCGATCTCGGCTCACTACAACTTCTGCCTCCCGGGTTCAAGTGATTCTTCTTTCTCAGCCTCCTGAGTAGCTGGGACTACAGGTGCACGCCACCACCCTCAGCTAATTTTTATATTTTTAGTAGAGGCGGGGTTTCATCCTGTTGGCCAGGCTGGTCTCTAACTCCTGACCTCGTTCCACCCACCTTAGCCTCCCAAAGTGCTGAGATTATAGGCATGAGCCACCGCGCCCGGCCAGAGATGTACTTTAATAAACAATATTGAGTTTTTTAAAAACTACTCGATGAAAATAATGTAATACCACCCCCAAAATAGTATAAAACACACTGGAATTTGAGTCAGGAGATGTCCATTCTGTCACTTAGTCACAAAATTGTGACTTTGAGTATTTAACCTAAGCTCTCTGAGCCTCGGTTGCCTTTTTTCTTTTTTTTTTTGAGACGGAGTCTCGCTCTGTCGCCCAGAGTGGAGTGCAGTGGCGCGATCTCAGCTCACTGCAAGCTCCACCTCCCGGGTTCACGCCATTCTCCTGCCTCAGCCTCCCGAGTAGCTGGGACTACAGGTGCCCGCCACTACACCCGGCTAATTTTTTGTATTTTTAGTAGAGACGGGGTTTCACCGTGTTAGCCAGGATGGTCTCGATCTCCTGACCTCGTGATCTGCCCGCCTCGGCCTCCCAAAGTGCTGGGATTACAGGCGTGAGCCACCGCGCCCGGCCTTTTTTTTTTTTTTTTTTTTTTGGTCATACGGAGTCTCACTCTGTCAGCCAGGCTAGAGTGCAGTGGCGCAATGTCGGCTCACTGCAGCCTCCACCTCCCAGGTTCAAGCAATTCTCCTGCCTCAGCCTCCCGAGTAGCTGGGATTACAGGTTCCCACCACCACATCCCACTAATTTTTGTATTTAGTAGAGAAGGGGTTTCACCGTGTTGGCCAGGCTGGTCTCAAAACTCCTGACATCAGGTGATCTACCCACCTCAGCCTCCCAAAGTACCGGGATTACAGGCATGAGCCACCGCCACCTGCCTTTGCGCCGCCTGCCCAACCCTCAGTTGCCTTTAATGAAACAGGAGTAACTCGATGAAAATTTATTAAGTGAATGAATGAATAATAAAATAAAAAAATAAAAAAAAGATTCCCACCTGGACAAAGCGTCACAAAGAACAAGTTCTTTTGTCTAAAGTAGAAATACCTAAAACAATGCAAATAGTATGAGAAATCAGCTTTTTAGCCAAGGGAGCACTTGCTGATAAAGTCTGCCTAAGGTTCAAGTCCATCCAGGCCAAGTCCCCAGAGCACGCCCCCAGGGCTCAGCCAGGAGCAGCAAGCAGCCTAATGCAAGCTGTTCCCATGGCGCCCTCCCTCCTGCCGACTCCCACTCAGACACAGCTGCTACCAGCCAGGACTGCTCTCCACCCGTCAGGAAGCACAGATCTGCATTTCCGGAGCTATAAGGCCCAAGTCCAATGGGCGCTCAGAGGGGAAGCAGAAGGAATAATTCACCCATTACTTGTGGGACTGGCCTAAGAGAACATTATAGTTCCTTTCAACCTGTGAAGTCTGTGATTTCTTTGGTCTCTAACTCCAACTCTGTACCAACCTTTTAGGAAACAAAGGACATTCTGTGCAGGAAAACTTGTTTTCTTTATTTACAGCATCTAGCAGAGTCCTCTGCAGACAGTTGGCATCTGTTATAATATTTTCAGCTTGGAAGAGATACCGCTGCTTAATCAACTTTAAAGGAAAAGATGTACTTCTCGATAATTTGAGCCTGGAACGAGATATTCAGTTCTTAAAATAAAAGAGGTAATTACTGGAACCTGCTTAGGCTACAGTTCATTTCTCTGCCTCCTGCTCAGCCTGCCCCTCTTCTTTGTTCGTAATTTGCTTTGATTATTATTATTTTTTTTTAATTAAAGGTGAGGTCTCACTGTGTTGCCCAGGCTGGTCTTGAACTCCTGCGCCCAAGTGATCCTCTCACGTCAGCCTCCCAAAGTGCTAGGATTTCTAGTGTGATCATCATGCCCAGCTGTAATATTCTTTGCTTTGTTATTTCACATGGAGTAGTATTTTAGTATGCTGATGTCATCATAACAATGCATGACTTTTTGTTGAGTCAAGAAATATTGCTGACTTATAAATATCAACAACCATTCCAGCAGGTGAGTCTTCCCAATCATTGCTCATGAATGACTTTCAGTGAATGCATCTTTAGTCTCTAGGACGTAACCCTTAAGGGCACCAGTTTAGCTCAGCACTCCTACCTCATTTTGGAATAAAATAGGTTGAAGATATTGGCAGCCAAACATGGCCTACCTAGCCATATTCACTTAAAAGAGAGTGAACTCTTCTCTCCAAATAAATTAGGCTGGGGTTTAACAATAAACACATCCATGCGAGCAATCTAAAAAAAACTTACTATGTAATTTATCTACTTTGGGGATATATAAATAGATTAGTCTGTTTCCTCTGTAAGTATCCCCAAACCTTGAAAAACTGGGAGGTTTATATATGCTGATGATTCTCCATAAGAATCAAACAGCATTTAGGTCTCTTGGAAGTTTTTGGTTTTTTCTGAAGCTCAATGGCAAGAATTTAAAAACAAACAAACAAACAAACAAACAAACAAAAAACCCTTTTTTTTAAAGAGACGATGCATCAGTATGTTGCCCAGGCCGGAGTACAGTGACTATTATAGGAGTGATCACAGCGCACTACAGCCTCAAATTCCTGGGCTCAAGGAATCCTCCTGCCTTAGTCTCTCAAGTAGCTGGGATTACAGGTGCCCGCCACCACTTCTGGCTGCTGCAAAATATTTTTGCATCTGACACAGGTTGAAGATACGCTCTTCAGATGGGCTTGTTTGGTGGATTAGATTATGATTTTCAACTTGGAGCATGAACAGGATGATAAAAATGAGCTAAAAGGCCAGGCGCGGTGGCTCACGTCTGTAATCCCAGCACGCTGGGAGGCCGAGGCAGGCGGATCACCTGACGTTGGGAGTTTGCGACCAGCCTGACCAGCCCGACCAACATAGAGAAACCCCCTCTCTACTAAAAATACAAAATTAGCCGGGCGTGGTGGCGCATGCCTGTAATCCCAGCTACTCAGGAGGCTGAGGCAGGAGAATCACTTGAACCCAGGAGGTGGTAGTGAGCCGAGACCGCACCATTGCACTCCAGCCTGGGCAACAAGAGCGAAACTCTGTCTCAATAAATAAATAAATAAATAAGGCTAAAAAATGGGTAAGAGTAAACAAGACACATGAACATCCTCTTGCCCTCCACCTTATCTTCCCTTTGAGAAATGGATACAGAACTCCACACCAGATTTTGGTTATATGGAAGGGACTCTAACTGGATGTTACCACTACTGGGGTAAGAAAGAAACAGAAAAAAAGACAGAAGATGTGGGAAAGAAAGTGACTTTCAGGGAGTTTTAGCCAAAACCAAGTCGGAGGACCAGTGCAACTGAGTACATAAGCAAAATACTGGGAGTTTGTTAAAAGACAGATTTGTAAGTTCAACTCTAGAGAATCTGTAGGTCTAGAGTGTAGCCTGAGAACCTATGCTTTAAGTATTTCTCATCTAGGCCAAGTGCAGCAGCTCACACCTGTAATCCTAATACTTTGAGAGGCTGAGGTGGATGGATTACTTGAAGCCAGGAGTTTGAGACCAGCCTTGGCAACACAGTGAAACCTTGTCTCTACTAAAAATTAAAAAAAAAAAAAAGCTGGGTGTGGTGGCACACACCTGTAGTCCCAGCTACTCAGGAGGCTGAGGCAGGAGGATCACTTGAGCCCAAGAGGTCAAGGCTGCAGAGAGCTGTGATGGCACTGCTGTATTCCAGCCTGGGCAATAGAGCAAGACCCTGTCTCGAATCAATCAATCAATCAATCAATTATTCCTATCTAATGCAGATGCCAGACTGGTGGACTACTATGGAAAGGTAGAAGTTAATCAAATCAGGACCTAATTTTTAGTTCTGGCCTTGAAAAGAAGGCCTGAGACGGCCAGACGTGGTGGCTCACGCCTGTAATCCCAGCACTTTGGGAGGCCAAGGCAGGCAGATCACCTGAGGTCAGGAGTTCAAGACCAGCCTGGCCAACATGGTGAAACCCATCTCTACTAAAAATACAAAAATTAGCTGGGTGTGGTGGCACATGCCTGTAATCCCAGCTACTCGGGAGGCTAAGGCGGGAGGATCCTTTGAACCTGGGAGATGGAGGTTGCAGTGAGCCAAGATCACGCCAGTGCTCTCCAGCCTGGGTGACAGAGCAAGATTCTGTAAAAAAAAAAAAAAAAAAAAAGCCCCAGGATGTGTAAAGCTGGTTAGGGTACATTCCTCTTTAGTGCTCCTTATCTTCTTTCCCCCTGCTTGCAAGCAGCTAAATTCTTTTGTGTTCATTGCCTTGGGGGAAGAAGCAGCCAGGGTGAAAAGGAAATAAATGTCCAGTAATTTCCAAAAACTTAAGCTCTTTAGAGAAATAGATACACAGGAAAAATGTTTGAGAGCTGGACAGTGGGGATGCTTAGGAAGGTGGGCCTCCCTCCAGTCATCCTTAGGAAAAAAATTGCCTAGGCAGAGAGAAAAATGTACAGAAGGGAAGAGGAAACCCAGAGGACACAGGTGCCCTTGTTTCCTCTAGAGGGACTGTGTGCCTTTCCCTGGAAGAAGAGCCCTGGAGAGATAGTTTGTAGGATTAAATGGCAGAACAGACCCTGCTTCACTCCCCAAGAACTCCAGTGGAGCAGTAAGAACCTAGAGAGGTACAGGGCACACCACCCTGAATGTGCCTGATCTCATCTGATCTTGGAGGCTAAGCAGGGCTGGGCCTGGTAAGTGCTTGGATGGGAGATCTCCTGGGAATACCGGGTGCTGTAGACTTAAAAAAAAAAAATCCGGAGAGAGTTGGCTACACTGTGCAAGAAGGGTTTGAAGGCTTAGCATGGAACAGAAACAATAGGATGATGCTTGCGCCTGAGTAGAATAGGGAAGAATAGAAAGCACCTGGATTGAAGGGGCCACATGGACAGGAATGAGAGGGGCTCGGTAGTAATTTTCACAGAGGACAGCAAAGAACGGAAGCTCCCCCCGCCCCCCAGCCCCCGCCCCACCCACCACACACATACATAGCACTATGTGAGCTCTGGGAACAATTCTAGGAAAAGGGACAGGGACAGTGAACCCTGACTTGACTGAGGTTATATTCTGCCACCTCTTAAAAACAATGGGGGGTTGTAGGCCAGGTGCCGTGGCTCATGCCTGTAATCCCAACACTTTGGGAGGCTGGGGCAGGTGGATCACGAGGTCAGGAGACCGAGACCATCCTGGCTAACATGGTGAAGCCCCGTCTCTATAAAAATACAAAAAATTAGCCAGGCATGGTGATGGGTGCCTGTAATCCCAGCTACTGGGGAGGCTGAGGCAGGAGAATCGTTTGAACCTGGCAGGTGGAGATCACGCCACTGCACTCTAGCCTGGGCGACAGAGTGAGACTCTGTCTCAAAAATAATAATAATAATAATAATGGGGTTTTGAAACAGAAATTTTGTTGAGTTAAAGAATATCAATTCCAGCCTAGGCAACATGGCAAAACCCCGTCTCTACAAAAATGCAAAATTAGCTGGGTGTGGTGGTGTCTGTAGTCCCAGCTACTTGGGAGGCTGAGGTGGGAGGACTGACTGAGCCTGGAAGGTGGGGTTCCAGTGAGCTGAGATTGCACCATTGTGCTCCAGCCTGGGAGACCCTGTCTCCAGGGAAAAAAAAAAAAAGAATATCAATTTACATTTACAGCATACCACATAAGTTGTGGACATAAGATTTATGTTTGCTGCACTGGAAACTAATACAATGAATAAGAGTGACATCCCTTGACAAACCATTTAACAGCTTGGTGGGGTCAGGGTGGAAGAAGAGACGTGCTTGTGGTTCAGAGTTTCTTACAATTCCAGTAACTCCAAGCTAAAGAGCATGTGTAGACTGCAAGTCACTCCAGTGCACACAACTACTTGCTAATTCTAATTTAAGGCCAGGCACGGTGGCTCACGCCTATAATCCCAGCACTTTGGGAGGCCGAGACGGGCGGATCACGAGGTCATGAGATCGAGACCGCCCTGGCTAACATGGTGAAACCGTGTCTCTACTAAAAATACAAAAAATTAGCCGGGTGTGGTGACAGGCGCCTGTAGTCCCAGCTACTCGGGAGGCTGAGGCAGGAGAATGGTGTGAACCCGGGAGACAGAGCTTGCAGTGAGCCAGTATTGTGCCACTGCACTCCAGCCTGGGCAGCAGTGCGAGACTCTGTCAAAAAAAAAAAAAAATTAGCCGGGTGTCGTGGTGCACACCTGTGATACCAGCTACTAGGGAGGCTGAGGCAGAAGAATCGCTTGAAACCAGAAAGCAGAGGTTGCAGTGAGCCGAGATCACACTACTGCACTCCAGCCTGGGTGACAGATGAGACTCCGTCTCTTAAAAAAAAAAAAAAAAAAAAAAAAAATATATATATATATATATATATATATAATTTAAGCCATTTTGAAATAGGGCAAAGAAGTAGCATTGCCAGGTTTAGCAAATTAATTGCTTCATGCCATATTTGCAATATTGAGGACATATACAAAA
Source organism: Homo sapiens (assembly GCF_000001405.40). Taxonomy (NCBI): domain Eukaryota; kingdom Metazoa; phylum Chordata; class Mammalia; order Primates; family Hominidae; genus Homo; species Homo sapiens. The sequence goes on along the minus strand of NC_000006.12, from coordinate 17,720,048 downwards.
AGTTATTCATTGTTCATCTGAAATTCAAACTTAATGGAGTGTTTTGAATGTTATCTGGCAGCTATACAAAGAAAGGAGTTCACAAGTGTCTGGGGCCCAAGAGCACATCACCCAGTACACTGATCTGGTTAGCAGAGTCCCTACTCTGCTCCTGAAATCCTGCCAAGGCGCTAACGGAAAAGCAGCTACACATACCTAGGTGAGAAGAGTCAGGGATTCCAGTTAGCTCGGCAGCTTCCATAAATATCTCAGGCTCCACCCTCTCCACCTGCCCATTGCCTGTGGGAAGCTCTAGAGTGTCACCTGGCTAATGGAAGAACTAGAGTTTTTAAAAATCAGTCAGACCTGTGTTCAAAGCCCATTTCTGTCAACTATTTGGTATGACCTTGAGCATACTTAATAACCCTTCTCTTTTATTCCCTAAAAGAGTCCTCATAAGGATAAAAAAAAATGCATGGAAGGCACCCAGCAAGGTGCACAGCATAGTGTGGGCACTCAATAAATAAATACATAAATAAATAAATAAATAAATAAATAAATAAATAAATAGTGCTATCATTTCCTGCACTTAGTTACTAACAGTGGAGGCTTTAAATCCTATTCCTTGGCCTCCTCTTCATCTCTGCAAGATCCTACCTAGATATTGCAATTATTTGAGGACACAGTTTGTTCCCTTGCAACCTTAGGTCTATGTATTTTTGTCTCCAGTGCACATTTTACAGTACCTTCTGTCACCTGGCCTTTTGTACAGAAGAATGTATTTCATCTAAAGAAAGGAGGCCAGGTGCAGTGAGCTCATACCTGTAGTGCCAGTACTTTGGGAGGCTGAGGCAGGAGGATCACTTGAGCCCAGGAGTTAGAGACCAGCCTGGTCATGTACCAAGACCCCATCTCTACAAAAAATAAAATTAGCTGGGCGTGGTGGTGTGTGCTTGTGGTCCCAGCTACTTAGGAGGCTGAGGTGGGAAGATCCCTTAAGCCCAGGAGTTCAAGGCTGCAGCGAGCTCTGATTGTACCACTGCACTCCAGCCTGGGCAACAGAGCGAGACCCTGTCTTTAAAAAAATAAATAGGCAGGGTGCAGTGGCTCATGCCTGTAATCCCAGCACTTTGGGAGGCCGAGGCAGGTGGAGCACTTGAGACAGGAGCTCGAGAACAGCCTGGCCAACATGACGAAAACCCATCTCTACTAAAAATACAAAAATTGGCCGGGTGCAATGGTGCACGCCCATGGTCCCAGCTACTTGGGAAGCTGAGGCAGGAGAATCGCTTGAAACTGGGCAGTGGAGGTTGCAGTGAGCCAAGACTGCACCACTGCACTCCAGCCTGGATGACAGAGCAAGACACTATCTCAATAAATAAATAAATAGCATTCTCTGCTAAAGAATCACTAAATTGTACTCACGTTCTTTAAATTGAAAGTCCTGACTCCAAGCCCACCAAGTTGAGGAGGGGAAACCATGACAGCTAATCTGAAGCTTTTAATCTGCAAATCATTTAAAATCCTAAGCAACAAATATTTCCAAAAGGAAATTTATCTGCATATGTATTTACTCAAAATACTTATAAGTACGAACACTTCTGGTGGGGCACAGTGGCTCATGCCTGTAATCCCAGCATTTTGGGAGCCCAAGGCGGGCGGATCACCTGAGGTCAGGTGTTGGAGACCATCCTGGCAACATGGTGAAACCCCATCTCTACTAAAAGTACAAAAATTAGCCGAGCATGGTGGTGGACACCTGTAATCCCAGCTACTCAGGAGGCTGAGGCAGGAGAATCGCTTGAACCCGGGAGGTGGAGGTTGCAGTGAGCTGAGATCGTACCATTGCACTCCAGCCTGGGTGACAAGAGCGAGACTCCATCTCAAAAAAAAAAAAAAAAAGAGTATGACCACTTCCACTTGTCCCTAAATGGCAGGACACATCCCATTATCATGTTACCATCTGCAGAATACATGGTCTTCTATAGCTGTTGAATGCTATTCCCGAAAGTCTGTCATTCTGTATGTATGTATTTATTAGAGACAGGATCTCACTCTGTCACCCAGGCAGGAGTACAGTGGCATGATCATAGCTCACTGCAGCCTCAAACTCCTGGGTTCAAGTGATTCTCCCTCCTCAGCCTCCTGAGTAGCTAGTATGACAGGTGCATGCCAACACACCCGGCTATTTAAAAACTGTTTTTGGAGAGATGGGGGTCTTGCACCATTGCCCAGTCTAATCTAAAACTCCTGGCCTCATGTAATCTTCCCACCTCAGCCTTCTAAAGTGCCTGTTTTTTTGTGGTTTTTTTTTTTTTTTTTTTTTTTTTTTTGAGACAGAGTCTCACTCTGTCGCCAGGCTGGAGTGCAGTGGTGTGATCTTAGCTCATGGCAACCTCCGCCTCTCAGGTTCGAGCGATTCTCCTGCCTCAGCCTCCCAAGTAGCTGGGACTACAGGCACGTGCCACCATGCCCAGCTAATTTTTGTATTTTTAGTAGAGATGGGGTTTCACCATGTTGGCCAGGATGGTCTTGATCTCTTGACCTCGTGATCCACCCGCCTCAGCCTCCCAAAGTTCTGGGATTACAGGCGTGAGCCACCGCGTCCGGCCGAAGGTCTGTTTTTAAAGTGCACTTCCTTCTCCCTTCAGGTCACATTCCTATTTTGGCATAATCCCCCAGAGAAAGCACCATCTTGATCTGAGTCCATAAAAGTGATTTTTCTGAGGCCAGGCGCGGTGGCTCACGCCTGTAATCCCAGCACTTTGGGAGGCCAATGAGGGTGGATCACTAGGTCAGGAGATCGAGACCATCCTGGCTAACACGGTGAAACCCTGTCTCTACTAAAAATACAAAAAATTAGCCGGGCATGGTGGCGGGCACCTGTAGTTCCAACTACTCGGGAGGCTGAGGCAGGAGAATGGCGTGAACCCGGAAGGCGGAGTTTGCAGTGAGCTGAGATCGCGCCACTGCACTCTAGCCTGGGCGACAGAGCGAGACTCCGTCTCAAAAAAAAAAAAAAAGTGATTTTTCTGTTTACCTCTGATACTGCAAATAGTACATGGTCTCAGGTAAATTGTGTTTAAAAGCAAAAGGGAGATTTCAAGTGTTCTAGCAATAAAAGATTGTTTTAACAAGTTTCATTTTAAAGTATTTTTTTTCAAACACAGAAAACATTTGCATAACATAAAAGTTGTTGAGGGAAATAAGGAATTGTGAAACCTCCTATAAATGTCCATTCATCCTTTCAATAAATATTCATTCAATTTGTGCCTGGCTTTATGGATACAAAATGTGAGGAAAACATGAAGTGACAATGACGAGGGTCTTTTCTTTTCCATGTATTATTTATTAGTCCTTCATTATTTATGACGCCAGTAAGTGACACTCTGGGTTTCGGTAACACCATTTCTGCAAGGTATCACTCATCCTTTGTTCGTTTTTTTACAGCTTTTGAATTTAGGTCAACAAGGAGCCAATCTGGACCCAAAAGACTGCCTTATAGAGGGAAAATACACCAAGGGTGAGTTCAGGTTGGCCGTGAACCTGGCAGAATTTTTGATGGTATTTTCAGACATGTCTAGCAGTGACTATTTGCCAGAATTTAAAATTTGCCCTCCCTGCTTGCTCGTCTCAGCCTCCTTCTCTTTTGTCTGACATCACTCCTTAAACATTTCCTCTTTTCTTTTTCTATATTCCTTCCATATATAGGAAGTTTTCAGTGGAAAATTGCTGGAGAAATTGAAACAAGTGATCTGACCTGTTTTGTTTGGATCTCATGTAAAACTAACCACTGCACTTTTCTTGTTCTTTTCATTAACTTGAAATTAGGATATCCCAATTCCTACTAAAAAATATAAAAATTAGCCGGGTTTGGTGGCAGGTGCCTGTAGTCCCAGCTACTTGGGAGGCTGAGGCAGGAGAATCACTTGAACTATGGAGGCGGAGGTTGCAGTGAGCGGAGATCTCACCACTGCACTCTAGCCCGGGCAACAGAGCAAGACACGATCTCAAAAAAAAATAATAATAATAATAAAGAAGAAAGAAAGAAAGAAAGAAATTAAGGCAGAAAGCTTCTCAGAACTGTCGCGTTTTTTCCCCTCCATCTCAGTTTTGGATTTTCTTTTTTTTTTTGAGACAGAGTTTTGCTCTTTTTGCCCAGGTTGGAGTGCAATTGGTGCGATCTCAGCTTACCACAACCTCCGCCTCCTGGGTTCAAGGAATTCTCCTGCCTCAACCTCCCGAGTAGCTGTGATTACAGGCATATGCCACCACACCCGGCTAATTTGGTATTTTTAGCAGAGACGAGGTTTCTCCATGTTGGTCTGGCTGGTCTCGAACTCCCGACCTCAGTTTTGGATACTTTTCAAAGGACCGTGTTCTAAAGTTAGTGGTGTAGGCAAAAAGTCAGTTCCTCTTTGTTTGTAAACCAAAACCAAACCTTGAGAGGAGACTCTGCTGGTACAGGAGGAGGCATAGTTGTAAAGGCTGGGACCTTATGATGAGGAGTCAAAGAGGCAGAGCTATAGTGGACAAGAGCGAAGAGAGAAAAATGGCATTTCCTTCCCAATTGTCTACTACTCCTGGTGCCCCTTTGTGGATTTGCCTCCTCACTGCACAGCAGCAGACCACTACTTTGCAGAGTAACTGCTGGCCAACATGGATATCCAGTATGAGAGAGACAAGTGATTAAACTCAAGCATCAGCAAGGATGAAGCTAAAATCAATCCTGGGTCTCAGCACTTCGGCTGGAAGGGATGGGCCTAAAAGCGGGTGCTTCTTGTAGGAAGTGCTTATGAGTCACTGCTGACTCATTGAAGGGGCAAGATTTTATGACCAAACAAGTGAAAAAGAAAATGTAACTGTTACTAATTGAAAGCATTTAAGTTATGGCTTGGGTTTAACTGTGGCTAGTTGATGCTCTTTGTTGCTTGGTTGTGGCCTTCTTGGAGGCCTATGGTCTGCTTTGATGCTTTTATTCTACACATTGTATGGGTACATAGTGGAAGCTACACCTTCATGGGGAGAGGGGGAGAGTTTTCTGTAGTTGGGGGTGGTTGTTTAAGTAGGTTTTGCTCAACGTCTGCAAAGTTGCCTTCAATTTGTTTGGTGATACTGCCTTTTTAATACTAAATGTAGAATGATATAACCTCACTCATCTTTGCTTTGGAGAATATTTGAAGAGTTCTTTTTATTGGGTTTTTTTTTTTTTTTTTTTTTTTGGTTTTAAAGAAGCCTACTTTTGGTAGCTCATGATATCCTACTGTCATTATAATGGATCCAAACAAGGTAAGCTACATTGAGGCCACTGGCCATGGATTATAGATATTGGCTTAAAATCATCTTAACTAACCATTATGCTTGTGTAATTGCTCTGTTAAATCAACTCTGCTACCTGTGATGATACAGAATAAGGATGTGCTAAATCCAGATTTTCATTTCAGCTAGTAGCCTAGCTTCCTTTGGAAATAGAAGCTAATGAAAATAACAATTAAAAAATGGTTCATCTCATTTCTGCTCACTTTGTGGTAAAAGTGAAAGTTACTGAATGGTAAAAGGAAAAAAAAAATCTACATGATCAATAAGCTGCTGGCTCATCAATTCTTACTTAAATTGTTGGTTGTTGTAGATGAGCAAGGAACAGAAATTCCTAAGCCTGCTCTTTACAGGAACTTCAGTGACCTCATTATCTGCCCTTGATGTTTAACTGTTCACATGAGCAAACATGCTTCTATTTGGCCTACACAAGGGGTGATGTATGTAAGTTTTTAAATATGATTTTTCACCTTTTGTATTGCACAGCTTTTTAGGCCTTCTCTATTGCAGGAGTTAAGAACAATAGGCATGTTGTGATGACTTCTTCTGGAAACTTTTAGACTAACATATCCATTATTGTTATCAAATTGAACTTTTCCAGAAGTAATGTTTGGAGAAAATACTATGTCCAATTATTGTCTTAGCTTCATAGCAGCTATTTAAGAGGTCAAGCTATGGCCGGGCACGGTGGCTCACGCCTGTAATCCCAGCACTCTGGGAGGCCAAGGCAGGCGGATCACGAGGTCAGGAGATCGAGACCATCCTGGCTAACACAGTGAAACCCCGTCTCTACTAAAAAAAAAAAAATACAAAAAATTAGCCAGCCATAGTGGCGGGCACCTGTAGTCCCAGCTACTCGGGAGGCTGAGGCAGAAGAATGGCGTGAACCCGGGAGGCGGAGCTTGCAGTGAGCCGAGATCGTGCCACTGCACTCCAGCACTCCAGCCTGGACGACAGAGGCAGACTCCGTCTGAAAAAAAAAAAAAAAAAAAGAGGTCAAGCTACTAGAGGTAGGTAATCTAATTGTTTTTATGATTTGTCAAGTAGAAAGCTGCTACCATTCCTGCCTTTACAGTTTAGAAAAATTACAGTTTATTCCAAGTTGCCTGAATTCTCATCTAGCATTCCAGATATATTAGATGCCAATCCAAGCCTAAGAATATTCCCTCCTAGAGTGCCCGCTTGCTTTTCTACCTTAAAAATGATTTTGTGACTACAACGGAATGAGAAAAGTCATCGCAATTCTAAGAAAGTAGCCTGATATTTCTTTTAGGAATTTATCTCTGCTCATAGCTTCTTGGATTAGGGTTTACTTTACATCCATTTTTTTTTTTCATGAATTAGTTCTAAAATAAAATTTTTCTTTTTCTTTTGCAACCAACCAAACAACCAGCAGTGACTAAAAGAAAATTTGTATAAGAAAAGGATACATGGGAATTAGCAAGGGGTTCTTGAAATATCTATGCTTAAGTATATTTCATAACTAATGCTCAGTTTTAGACCCTTAACATTTCAGATGTTAATAACTTCTGCTAGATTACCTTTTTCCTTTGGAAAAAAAAAGTTAATGAAAGAATAATTAAAAAATGGTTCATTCCATTTCTGCTCACTTTGTGGTAAAGGAGAAAGGTACAGAATGATAAAGAAGAGGAAAAAAAACTACATGTTGTATAAGCTGTTGGTTCATCAATTCTTAAATTGTTGATTGTTGTAGATTAGTAAGGAACAGAAGTTCCTAAGCCTGCTCTTTACGGGAACTTCAGGTACCTCATTGTCTTGCCTTCAAAGTTAATCTAACTTCAGATTAATAACTTCTGGTGGCATGGTTTTGAAACAATGCTCCTAGAATGTAATACAGTTCACCTGGTGATCTTGTTAAAATGTAGATTCTGATTGTGTTGGCTTGGGATGGGCAGAGCTGCTTTATTCTAACAAGCTCCCGGGGGCTGCAGCTGGTGCTTGCTGGTCAGAGTAGCAGCAAGAGGCCAAAAGTCACTGTTTGTTTAAACTGGGTAGTTCATGCTTGTCTGATGGTGGTGGGGTGATATGTATGTGAGGGTTGTTTGCATGTTAACTGGTTTGCATGCTTTTGAAAAGGAATGCCTTAATAAGTTAGGGTCTGATAAACTTGAGCATTCTCTACAAATGCTTTTAAAAAATAAAGAAGCTTAGTATTAGCAAACTAAGGTTTGCAAAGGTTATAGTTTTACAGACTGCAACCTTAATAAGTCCAGTTTCGTAATGTAACTGATGAATTATGTTAATAAATAAAACTAAACCAATTGATTTCTTTTTTTTCTTTTTTCTTTTTTTTTGAGATGGAGTCTCGCTCTGTCGCCCAGGCTGGAGTGCAGTGGCATGATCTCCGCTCACTGAAAGCTCCGCCTCCCAGGTTCATGCCATTCTCCTGCCTCAGCCTCCCGAGTAGCTGGGATTACAGGCGCCCACCACCGCGCCCGGCTAATTTTTTTTTTTTGTATTTTTAGTAGAGACGGTGGTTTCACCATGTTAGCCAGGATGGTCTTGATCTCCTGACCTCGTGATCCGCCTGCCTTGGCCTCCCAAAGTGCTGAGATTACAGGCATGAGCCACCGTGCCCGCCCCTGATTTCTTGTATGAGATAGATTCAACAGCATGTGTTTAGAATTTACGTGTAGGTTTTTTTTTTTTTTTTTGAGACAGAGTCTGGCTCAGTTGCCCAGGCTGCAGTACCGTAGCATGATCTCGGCTCACTGCAACCTCTGCCTCCCAAGTTCAAGCGATTCTTCTGTCTCAGCCTCCCAAGTAGCTGGGATTACAGGCATGTGCCACCACACTCGGCTAATTTTTTAATTTTTTTAGTAGAGACGGGGTTTTGCCACGTTGGCCAGGCTGGTCTCAAACTCCTGACCTCGGGTGATCCGCACATCTTGGCCTCCCAAACTGCTGGATTACTGGTGTGAGCCACTGTGCCTGGCTTGAGTGTAGCATTTTTAAGGTGAATTATCAGTGTTAAGTGCTAATGATTAATAGATTATAAAATAGTAAACTTTAGTATAACTCAATAAAATGGTAAAGTGTAGCATAATATGTAGACAGAGATTGTTTTACAGTTTTGTATACTGACATACTAAATGCCAAGACTAGAAACCAACACATAAATATCTCAATAAATATTTGTGTTTTAATGAATTAATCTCAGTTAATTCATTAACTGTCTTAAATGTTAGGATGGGATTGCCTTCCTAAATTTGGTTATTATTTCATCCAATAAAACTGAGTTTCCATTCAAGATTGAATTTAAAATATGCCTTAAACTATAATGTAATGTACATAAACACATATATACCAAAGTCTAGTATACATTGATACATGTAGTCAGGAAGAGGAAATATATGGCATGTTGGAATCAAGTGATATATGTAGTTAATCAAAATTTGCTCATATTAGTTAATTTAGTCTTAAATATTACTTTATTCCCAATAGAGAGAGAACACAGTAAGTTAATGAGAATACAATGATTTACATCCTTAAATATCTTTCCGTTGTGTGGCCCTTCTTTCCCTAAAATACAAGCAAACAGGCAATAAATAAATAAATAAATAATAAATAAACCCAATAGCTTCATTTTCTTTATTTTTTTCTTTAGAGATGGGGTCTCACTCTGTTACCTAGGCTGGACTGCAGTGGTGAGATCATAGCTCGCTGCAGCCTTAGACTCCTGGGCTCAAGTGATCCTCCTGCCTCAGCCTCCCTAGTAGCTGGGACTACAGGTGCACACCACTAAGCTCAACTAATTTTTTCATTTCTTTGTAGAGAAGGGGTCTCGTTATGTTGCCCAGGCTGGTTTCAATCTCCTGGCCTCAAGTGATCCTCCTGCCTTGGCTTCCCAAAGTGCTGAGATTATGGGTGTGAGCCACATGCCTGACCAGGAATACACTTTAAAATAATAAAGTATGGTAGCAACAGGAAATGGCAAGGAGTGCCTGTTAAAAAAAAAAAAAAGGTATAGTAAATACATAAACCAGAAACAGCCACTTATCATTATGAAGTATTCTGTACTGTACATAATTGTACATACTCCACTTTTACACAAATGGCAACACAGTAGGTTTGTTTATACCAGCATCACCACAAACACGTGAGTAATGTGTTGCAATAAGACCTTAGGACAAAGACAGTATCACCAGGCAATACGAATTTTTCAGCTCTTTATGGGACCACCATTGTATATTGGGCCCATTGTTGATTGAAACATTGTTATGCTGTGCATGAGTGTGATAATTTGTTTTAATAGACATCACAGCAGATACCTCATTTTGTTTTGGTAAGGTGGAATAACTACATAAAATTTCGTAACTTCTTGTACTTGTCATCTTTAAACATTCTTTTGGCCAGAATTGTATTAGTACCTTCTGAAGAATGTATGATGGCTCTTTTTCAATCTAGGTTGGGTTTAGACTAAATTGTATTTCACTTTTAATTAGTGGATACTCCTTATCTATTAGAGATGGGTCAGCAGCCTATTTGCTAATTTATAATTGGCAGCTGGTTACATATATATATATACATATATATATATATTTGTTGTTTTAATTTTTTAATTTTTTTGATATGGAGTCTCACTCTGTGGCCCAGGCTGGAGTGCAGTGGCATGATCTCAGTTCACTGCAACCTCCACCTCCATGGTTCAAGCGATTCTCCTGCCTCAGCTTCCCGAGTGGCTGGGACTACAGGTGAGCACCACCACGCCCAGCTAATTTTTTTTTTTTTTTTTTTAAGTGGAGACAGGTTTCACCATGTTGGCCAGGCTGGTCTCGAACTCCTGACCTCCAGTGATCCACCCGCCTTGGCCTCCCAGAGTGCTGGGATTACAGGTGTGAGCCACTGTGCTCGGCCACTTTCTACTATATTATATGGGGAACAAAATAAAGAAGTTTCTTGGCAGAGGAGGACTATTGTAGCAACAAGCTTTTCATGAATTGCAGTGTCTCCCAATATGCCATTTATTTGGCTGAAAAAACTAGGTCCAGGTTGAATGCAGATTTCCTCCTGTCTCTTTATTCCTTCTCTGCTCTCAAGCCTGGCACGGCTTCCAATGACTCAATCACATGAATGTGAGATTAATGCATTATAGTTCCCTCAAATACTATTTTACTTCCAAGAAATAAAATAATTGTGGAAATGGGTAAAAAGTTGAGAGCATGGGTAAAAGGAATGTGGATTTTCCCATATCTCCTCAAGTTCTACCAATCTTCTATTTCTGAAGCATTGTCTACATTTGGCCCAATTCTTTCGCGTCTCTCTTCCTTTCAAAGGTTGGCTGTGAAGGGTGTCCAGCACATCAAAGAATAGCCTCCAAGAAAGGGGTGAGCTTTGATTCCAGTCAGTCCTCTGTTCTGTGGTGGAAACTCTGGGTCTCATAGAGTGAAGAGGGCAGATGGGATGTGGCTATGGTTTAATCTCCTCTACGTATAACCCAATTAAAGATTCAGGTACAGATCTTCCCTATGAGTTAGCTTATCGTGAATTACTTTACTTGGCTGTCAAATATCTAGCTATGGATTTGTGGAAGAATAGGATTTCTGCATAGGAGGAAGATAGCACCTGAGGGAAACAACTGTCTTTAAGAAAGATGAAGTGCTTCAGGAGGAAGAGGGGGCATACCTGGAGAATTTAGTGGGAAGTTAGTGGTGGGAGGAGGCATGAAGCTAGGATGAGACAGCGGAAAATAGATTAATTTTGTTTATCATATTTGGCAACTTGTCTTGATCTTGATGGTTATGGTCAGAGGTGCCACTGAAAGCCATTGATGTGTACACCTATGCTTGGTATAGCATAGTTTCTTTAGGCGCTGAAAGGTACAAGTTCAAAGGTACTAGAAGACTGGCTTTACAATTTCACTTGTATGATTTAAACAATGAACCTGAATTGTGCAGTTTGATTGTGGAGATAGTATAAATGTCTTGGAACTAATTATTTATATCTGATTGATGGTTGATATTGGATGCTTTCTATCTAAGCAGTTACTATGAACTAGATATACATTAATCCTTTCACCAGACCACTACCCTGTGAGGTCAATATTCGCTCTATTTGCTGATGAAAAAAACGAAGCTTAGAAACAGGATCAGTGGGCTGGGCGCGGTGGCTCACGCCTGTAATCCCAGCACTTTGGGAGGCCGTGGGCAGATCACCTGAGATTGAGAGTTCGAGACCAGCCTGACCAACATGGAGAAACCCCATCTCTAGTAAAAATACAAAATTAGCCGGCCGTCGTGGCACATGCCTGTAATCCCAGCTACTCGGGAGGCTGAGGCAGGAGAATCGCTTGAACCCAGGAGGTGGAGGTTGCTGAGATTGCGCCATTGCACTCCAGCCTGGGCAAAACAAGAGGAAAAAACTTCGTCTCAAAAAAAAAAAAAAAAGAAAGAAACAGGATCAGTAACTTCCCCAAGGCTACACAGCTAGTAAGTGGGAGATTTATAGTAAATAGGCTGGGCGTGGCGGCTCACACGGGTAATCCCAGCACTTTGGGAGGCCAAGGCGGGTGGATCACTTGAGGTCAGGAGTTCAAGGCCAGCCTGGCCAACATGGCGAAACCCCATCTCTACTAAAAATACACAAATCAGCTGGGCGTGGTGGTGCACGCCTGTAGTCCCAGCTACTTAGGAAGCCGAGGCAGGAGAATAGCTTGAACCTGGGAGGCAAAGGGTGCAGTGAGCCAAGATCGCGCCACTGCACTCCAGCCTGGGCGACAGGGCAAGACTCTGTCTCTCAGAAAAAAAGAAAGAAAGAAAGAAAGAAAAAAAAAGATTTATAGTAAGTCTAAGATTTTTCACAACATATTTTTCCTCCCTAATCATTTGGCTATTTGTCTTTAGCTCTTACAGAAAAGTTGGGTTATAGTCCTGGCTTTGATTACCCATCTCAGTGTCATTGATTGTGCCACCTAAATTTCTCTGGACATCTTGTCTGGTTGGTTGAATGAGAGGGTTGGACTATGTGATCACCAGGACCTTTCTAATCGTCAACTCCTAGAATATACATTTTGTGGATTCAGTCTTTGAGTCTAGCTCACTTACTCAGTTTCCTAAATATTTGGAGCAAATATAGTATACTTTTATTGTTAAGGATATATCACTTACCCCTAATGTTAGCTGACTGCATGGGTTATAATTGTAATCATTCATCGCATTTTTCGTCTATTAGCAAATATACATGCTCTCCATAGATGATCACGTCTGCTCCTCACAACAGCTTTATAAGGTGGATTTTAAAGCTCCCATTTTATGGAGGAGGAAGCTAAGGCTCAGACGGTTTTGATTCATCCAAGGTCAAATAGGTTGGGTGGCAGAACCAGAATTCCAGCCCCGTGTGTCTGCAACAAAACCTTTATATGTTTAAAGAAACATTAATGAAGCCGTATATATTTTCTAATTCTAAGGATCATGGACTTTATTTTTCAACCACAGATTTTTTTTTCCTCCTTCTTAAATCATTAGCTCTTGTCTTTGATTTTACTGTCTGCTTACTTCCTGCCTACTTAACCAACCGACAGGGAGAAGGAGAATGGGAAGAGGTTACTGTTTTTATGTTAAGTGTCTTTTCAAAGTCTAATTTACAGCCAAGAACAGCAAAAGTACCCCTTGGCTTTGTGCCTCTGCGGCGCCCCGGAGATCTCCTTCCCCGTCCCTCTTCCTTTCCGAGAAGCCGCGTTCCGTTGTTGAACTACGTTTCCCAGCGTGCCGCGCGGCCGAGAGCGTGGACTCGACCAGCCCTTCCTCTTTGCCTATCAGCTCGTCGCAGCATGATGATGCAAATGCGTCGGGCGCCGATGAGTGACGACATTCTGGCTCGCGACCGCGGCAGCCGCCTTAGCAGGGGTAATAGGCGCAACGGCGGCGGAGGCTGCAGGGACGACGACGACGACGGCGGCGGGGCGGGCGCTGTGCGCACAGGGGAGGGGTAGGCGGGCGTCGCCAGCGGCTTCAACTGCGGCAGCTACGGCTAGGGCGACGGAAGAACTCCCACCAGTCGGCGGTCGAGTTAGGCCTCAGCACCGCGGGGAACTGTTCGTGCTGTCCTCTGCGGGAGATCTCCATAGAGACCGTGACACACACAGAGGCGGGGGTCCGCAGAGGCGGCCGGACCGGAGCCTCCTCGGCCTCTGCGGCCGCCACCCCCTTCCCCGCTGCCAGCACTCACCCTCTCTCCGCTCCTGCTCGCAACCTCGCGGTTCCTGGGGTGCTTGTGCCCACTGTGTGGACAGCGCGGGCGGACTTTTGGGCCGGGGCCGGGCGGCGGGGGAGGCTCTCTAAGGCCTCCGCCTCTGCCTCTCCCGCCCCCTTACCCGCCCCGGAGCGGGAAGCGGCGGAGGCTCCGCCATGGCCTCGGGAGCCGGAGGAGTCGGAGGGGGCGGTGGCGGCAAGATCCGGACGCGGCGTTGCCACCAGGGGCCAATTAAGCCTTACCAGCAGGGGCGACAACAGCATCAGGTATGGGACCCCGACGCCGCGGTGGCCTGGCGGGTGGGGAAACTCGGCTGGAGGGGACGGGCGGTTCGAGGCCCCGGCGCCCCACGTGGAGCAGACAGGAGGGCCTGAGGAAAGGCCCGAGTGAGGCTCCGGGGGAGCTCAGGCCGTTGGGGGTGGCGACGGGAAGTGGGCTGAGACAGGCCCAGCCTTGCGGCGCACACGTGTGGTTTGGGCCGCCTTTCCCCCAACTCTCTGGGTCAGGGGCTTTCCCAGGCAGGCTCTGGGCGGGAAAAGAAATTGTAGGCCCATGATGCGCGCGTTTCTTTATTTTTTGGCGGGGATTTGGAATTTGAGGGTATTACTCATGTTCTCTCGAGGGAGAAAGGAAAAGATGTGGTTGATGGCCCTTATACTTGCTGTTTTCTGGTGTCCCTTCTTTAGTGTGTTTGAGGAGGGGGGGCTGCCCCTTGGAATCTTAACTCTGGGGCAGACGGGGAGTTGTGGGGGGCGCTGTTACATGGAAAGTGGAATAACTTAGTCTCAGCCTATGAGTTAATTCTCGGTTTCCCCTGCCTGTGGCCCTCCTCGTCTTGAGAGCATTGGCTTAGATTTTATTAACCAGGTTATAGTTAACCGTGGCACTGGGGCATTTTGAAAGTCCCTCTCCACCCTTACGTCTTTTCTCTGCTGCGCGACTCCCCTCCCCCCCCCCAACACCGCCACCCCCGCCTTTATTTTGGAGGCTGGAATTGGCCATTCTCCACAGTTGACCGGGACTCCAGCTCTGATCTCATACACAAAATATTTTAATATTATGAGGCGTATTCTAGAAGTATAGTTACTTTTGACACTCCAGGAATGTTGGTGGTCTTATAGTTTAGCCACTGTATGAACTCCTGGATGTTTAAAATTATAAAAAAGGATTATCCTAATTGTAAATGAGATAGTTGATTCTGAGAAAATTCCATTTTTAAAATATTGATTGTTAGAAGTATTGAATAGGAAAATGTTAACTTATTTTAATAAAGCCACTTATCAGTGATACTGAGGTGGGAAGTGTGTGTCTTAAATTTGTTGAAAAACAAAAGTGTAGCAAAAGGATCTGATAACTTGTTGCCTACTGTTAAAGGTAGACTTCCTAGATTACTTTATTCTGGATGCTAATAAAGATTACACACTTTCACATGGTTGATGTTGTTAAATTGTGTCATTATCAACAGATTTTTAAAAGTAAAGATTTGGGTCGGGCGCGTTGGCTCACGCCTGTAATCCCAGCACTTTGGGAGGCCGAGGCGGGTGGATCACCGAGGTCAGGAGATCCAGACCATCCAGAGACGGTGAAACCCCGTCCCTACTAACAAATACAAAAAATTAGCCGGGCGTGGTGGCAGGCGCCTGTAGTCCCAGCTACTTGGGAGGCTGAGGCAGGAGAATGGCTTGAACCCGGGAGGCGGAGCTTGCCGTGAGCAGAGATCTTGCCCCTGCACTCCAGCCTGGGCGACAGAGCGAGACTCTTGTCTCGAAGAAAAAAAAAAAAAGTAAAGATTTGAGGAATTTTTTTTTTTTTGTCTTCTAGTTTTCTTAAATGTTTTTTATTTTGAGGGAAATGTTTGAGTAGTAAAAATTGTGGTTCAGGTATTTTCAGTCGTTCTCTACTGATGGTTAGGTTTGGCACTGTTACTACTCCCACCAGTTTTCCCCCAGATATGTACATAAAGTGCTTAGTTTTCAAATTTGTGAAGAAAAGGGGTATTTGCGAGCAGATTTAAGATTAGAATTCAGGTCACAAGCCTGGCCATTTAACCTAATCCGTCTGTAGAATGGAAGTTACACATGCATGCTTTCTTTTCTCCTATGAATGCCTTTGAGTGCTTAGATTTTCTTGTATGACATGTAGAAAAATGACTTGTTTTAAATATAGGTCATTGGATGGTCTGAATAGAGGTTAGAAGGGAATTAATATTTTCCAGATGTCTGAAGTTATCACAGCTTTTTTTTTTTTTTTTGAGACGGAGTCTCGCTCTGTCACCCAGGCTGGAGTGCAGTGGCGCGATCTTGGCTCACTGCAAGCTCCGCCTCCCGGGTTAATGCCATTCTCCTGCCTCAGCCTCCAGAGTAGCTGGAACTACAGGCGCCCGCCACCACGCCCAGCTAATTTTTTGTATTTTTAGTAGAGACGGGGTTTCACCATGTTAGCCAGGACGATCTCGATCTCCTGACCTCGTGATCTCCCCGCTTCGGCCTCCCGAAGTGCTGGGATTACAGGCGTGAGCCACCGCGCCCGGCCCCTGATCACAGCTTAAATGTACTTAGATAAAATAAAAATCTAATTTTGGGGAGATGATGTCTTAACAGCATAACACCTATGATCCAAGGTGTCTTAGAGTTGATACGACTTCAGGCTGTGTAGTTTTGTTTTAAATCTTGATAATTTATCATTGCCCCTTATCTAAAATACTTTTGCTTCTTGTCCTATTTAATTAAAAAAGAAAACATATTTTAGCTTTTGAATTGGGAAGTAAAGGTATTTAGGGGTTTCTTGATCAACACTGTAGGTGCTATTTAATATTGGCAGAAACTACCACTACCCAAGGAAAGTATTCAGGTATATTCAAAAGAATACTCTCCTTTTTTTTTTTTTTAATCTTAAAAATAAGGACTTTCTTTAGTCCTTATTGAGGCTTTGGTGGACATAGGGTCTACCCACTTGCTGTTTATTATCCTAGGCTGTCAACTGGATGTTTTGCAGAAGCTGCTGAGTCATCATGAAGCAAGCTTCATGACATGGCATGTTTTATACTAATGTTATTTGATTAAGTGTCCAAGGGTTTCTGGGCAAAAATTAAGCTTTTGGTAGTATAGCAGAAAGTTGGAGTAAGAAACAATGAGAGGTCTGGCGCTGTTAGTTAATGGATGTTTGCCAGTGCCTGTCAGGGCAACTTGGCTAGTACAGTCACCCAGTACCTATGACTTCTGCATGTGTTCATTTGACTTGTAATTTCCTGTTTTGACTTCTGGGTTTAGCTCTCCTGGGAAATGCTGTAAGTTTACTACTTTCCTTCTTTAACTTATTTTTTTTTTAATTTTTTTTTTTTTTTTTGAGATGGAGTCTCGTTCTGTGGCCCAG
The DNA here is from genome assembly GCF_000001405.40 of Homo sapiens. NCBI lineage: Eukaryota > Metazoa > Chordata > Mammalia > Primates > Hominidae > Homo > Homo sapiens. The sequence continues at coordinate 17,703,170 of NC_000006.12, read as the reverse complement.
GCTGGAGTGCAGTGGCTCGATCTTGGCTCACTGCAACCTTTGCCTCCTGGGTTCATTCCATTCTCTTGCCTCAGCCTCCCAAGTAGTTGGGATTACAGGCATGCGCCACCACGCCCGGCTAATTTTTGTATTTTTAGAGACGGGATTTCGCCATGTTGGTCAGGCTGGTCTCAAACTCCTGACCTCAGGTGATCCACCCGCCACAGCCTCCCAAAAGTGCTGGTATTACAGGCGTGAGCCACCGCGCCCGGCCCAAATTCTGATCTTTAAAATGTCATCTTGCATGAAGTTGTGCAGACAAATTCATTGTCTTGCTCAAATAACTGAAGAGTTATAAGGGTAATAACTCTTAAGAATTGTAGAAGCAAATATGAAGAACAGCCCTGAATAATGCAAGCTGATCATTCTTACTTGCCTTCTCCCCTACCCCTTTACCTTTTTGCCTAGATGCATTTAGGAAATGGTGTCATTTTTCTTTTCTCCTTTCTTTTTTTGAGACGGAGTTTTGCATCTGTTGCCCAGGCTGGAGTGCAATGGTGCAATCTCGGCTCAGTGCAACCTCTGCCTCCTGGGTTCAAGCTATTCTCCTGCCTCAGCCTCCCGAGTAGCTGGCATTACAGGCATGCGCCACCACAAACGGCTGATTTTTTTTGTTTTGTTTTTGAGACAGAGTCTCGCTCTGTCACCCAGGCTGGAGTGCAGTGGCACGATCTCTGCTCACTGCAAGCTCTGCCTCCCGGGTTCACGCCATTCTTCTGCCTCAGCCTCCCGAGTAGCTGGGACTACAGGTGCCTTGCCACCACGTCCGGCTAATTTTTTGTATTTTTAGCAGAGACGGGGTTTCACCGTGTTAGCCAGGATGTTCTCGATCTCCTGACCTTGTGATCCACCCGCCTCGGCCTCCCAAAGTGCTGGTATTACAGGCATGAGCTACCTCGCCCGGCCAGAAATGGTGTCATTTTTCTAGTTGAGAGTGAATAGGTAACTGAAGAGAATGTGGTTAGTTCCTGTCTTCCTTTTCCATTTCCTTTTTGTTCAGATTGTCAGGCACAGAAAGTCAGCTCTTTGGAGAGGTCAGGCTGCTTGCTTTTCTTAGTAACCACTACAAAAAACTTGAGTCCATGGGCAAACCAGAACCTACTGCCACCTCCTGGTGAGAGGAAACCACTTATTTTTGCCCTTTTTGTCCCGGGATGGGGGTGGGGTGGGGTGGTGTGGGTAGTATGCTTCAGACATTTATCTTCTGGTTTAGAGCTAAGGGACTCCGCCTTTAATCCTCCTAGATATAGTTTGTCTTACAAGTCAGTTCCTGCATTTAGCTTTTTTCCCCCCCCCCCCGAGACAGAGTCTTGCTCTGTTGCCCAGGCTGGAGTGCAGTGGCACAATCTTGGCTCACTGCAACTTCTGCCTCCCGAGTTCAAGCAGCTCTCCTGCCTCAGCTCTTGAGTAGCTGGGATTACAGGCGCAGGCCACCACGCCTAGCTAATTTTTGTATTTTTTTTTTTTTTTTGAGATGGAGTCTTGTTCTGTCACCCAGGCTGGAGTGCAATGGTGCGACCTCGGCTCACTGCAACCTCCGCCTCCTGGGTTCAAGCAGTTCTCTGCCTCAGCCTCCCGAGTAGCTGGGACTACAGGCACGTGCCACCACGCCCAGCTAATTTTTGTATTTTTAGTAGAGACAGGGTTTCACCATCTTGGCCAAGCTGTTCTTGAACTCCTGACTTCCTGATCCACCTGCCTTGACCTCCCAAAGTGCTGGGATTATGGGTGTGAGCTACCACACTCGGCCTAATTTTTGTATTTTTAATAGAGACTGGGTTTCACCAAGTTGGCCAGGCTGGTCTCGAACTCCTCACTGCGTGGTCTGGCCTCCTCGGCCTCTCAAAGTGCTGGGATTATAAGCGTGAGCCACTGCACCTGGCGCATTTAGCTTTTTTTTTTTTTTTAGACAGAGTTTCGCTCTTGTTGCCCAGGCTGGAGTGCAACGGCACCATCTTGGCTCACTGCAACCTCCACCTCCTGGGTTCAAGCAACTCTCCTGCTTCAGCCTCCCAAGTAGCTGGAATTACAGGCATGCGCCACCACTCCCAGCTAATTTTGTATTTTTAGTAGAGATGGGGTTTCTCCATGTTGATCAGGCTGGTCTCGAACTCCCGACCTCAAGTGATCCATCCACCTGCCTTGGCCTCCCGCGAAGTGCTGGGATTACAGGCATGAGCCACTGCTTAGCTATTTTTAAAAAGGGGAAGGAAACCTCTTTATCAGTAGCTTAGATCAGGGGTCAGTAAACTTTTTCTGAAAGGGACACAGATAGTGAATTTTTAGGCTTTGCTGTGGTAAATTGTCCTTTGTTTTGTTTTTAAAAGTCCTTTAGCAAATGTAAAAACCATTCTTAGCTTGTATGAAAAAAGACCAAGGTCTGAATTTGGCCCAGCCCACAGGTCATTGTTTGCTATACCATGGTTTATATGATAGTATTGTTTTTATTTGTTTTGGTAGCTTCTTTGTGATACTCTGTCCCAAATAAGTATGTCCTGCCTGGTATCTGATAGCTGGAGTGTTCTCAGATTTGAAAAGGAGGGATATTTAGAGGTCGAATATTTAAATCATTCCAGAAGTCACCAAGTTTTTAACTTTTATTTTATCCTTATTTGCTTTATCCTAGATGCTTAATATAATCAGTGGGAATAGAAATGGAAACATTGATAGGATTGGATAGTTGATAGGATAGTTGTTAGGAAAACATTGTAGTGTAATGGAGTCAGCCTGAGTTTGGATCCCTGTTCTGCCTGGACTTGGACAAGTTAATTTACTCATCTGTAAAGTGAAAATTGTTGTGGAGGTTAAATGGGACAAGTGAAGATTTTAGAACAGGACCTGGCATATGTATATAGGTAAGGAGTTATTAAAAATTGAGTCCTTATTATATATATGCAATTGAAATTTGAAATTAAATAGAACTGTTTGATTTAGGATCTTTTTTTTTGTGGGAGACCACAGTTTTATTATTACTCAAATTAGTCTCCTGATTTAGGGTCTTCATATTGTCTCTGAATTTTCCTGCTTCTTATCAGAAGTTTTGTTTCCTTTAGGTGACTAAATTCAATACTTGCATGTATTAAATTGTTTAATGCAAAGTAGGTGTTTTGTTTGTGATGAGAGGTTTTGTGTGGTATTATATTAATTTACTTAATTTTTCTAATAAGTGACAAAAAAGTCCACTTGCTGTATCCATTTTCTGGGAAGTCCCTGACAAGGCAGATATCTTAGTTTGAAGTAAAATAAAAATTGTAGTCTGATGTCACTAATTAAAACTGTTTACTTTTCTTTTTTTTTGAGACAGAATCTAGCTCTGTCACCCAGGCTGGAGTGCCATGCTGTGATCTTGGCTCACTGCAGTCTCTGCCTCCCAGGCTCAAGGGATTCTCCTGCTTCAGCCTCCTGAGTAACTGGGGTTACAGGTGTGTGCCACCACGCCTGGCTATTTTTGTATTTTTAGTAGACACGGGGTTTCACCATGTTGGTGTGGTGGTCTCAAACTTCTGACCTCAAGTGATCTGCCCTCCTCGGCTTCCCAAAGTGCTGGGATTACAGGCGTGAGCCACCTTGCCCAGCCAAAACCATTTTCATTAGGCACAGAGTATTGCAAAGATTGTAATTATCTTGTATTTTCTTTTTTTTTTTTTTTTGAGACGAGTCTCGCCCTGTCACCCAGGCTGAAGTGCAATGGTGCGATTTCGGCTCACTGCAACCTCCGCCTGCCAGGTTCAAGCAATTCTCCTGCCTCAGCCTCTGGAGTAGCACGCACCATTATTCCTGGCTAAGTTTTTATATCTTTAGTAGGGACGGGGTTTCACCATGTTGGCCAGGCTGGTCTTGAAGTCCTGACCTTGTGATCTGCCTGCCTCAGATTCCCAAAGTGTTGGGATTACAGGCTTGAGCCACCACGCCCAGCTAGCTTGTATTTAAAAAAAAAAAAAATTATTTGTAGCTATTTAGCTTATCTTCATGGTTGTAATATATTTTTAAAAGATTCTTCTGTGTTGGGAAGTTTGGTTTCAAGTCTTGCTGACACATACCATTTACTGTCAGAAACAGGATGATAGGATGCCTTTTCTATCTATAGATATTTCAGTTTGCTTGATTTTGCATATCTTTTTCTTAGTGTGATTTAAGAAACAAACTCTTACTCCCAATTTTCAAACATGTTACCTGAGAAAAAGTGTGATAGTATCTTGTAGGTAACTTTTAGTGAGTTTAACTACTGTGAGCTTTTATTGAGTTTTCTTTTTTTTTTTTTAAGACAGTGTCACTCTGTTGCCCAGGCTGGAGTGCAATGGCACGATCTTGGCTCACTGCAACCTCCGCCCCGCTCTGGGATTCAAGTGATTCTCCTGCTTCAGGCTCCCAGCTCTTTTTTTTTTTTTTTTTTTGAGACAGAGTCTTGCTCTGTCGCCCAAGCTGGAGTGTAGTGGCGCGATCTCGGCTCACTGCAAGCTCTGCCTCCCGGGTTCACGCCATTCTCCTGCCTCAGCCTCCCAAGTAGCTGGGACTACAGGTGCCCACCACCACGCCCCGCTAATTTTTTGTATTCTTAGTAGAGATGGGGTTTCACCATGTTAGCCGGGATGGTCTCAATCTCCTGACCTTGTGATCCGCCCACCTCGGCCTCCCAAAGTGCTGGGGTTACAGGCGTGAGCCACCACGCCCGGCTGCTCCCAGCTAATTTTTGTATTTTTTCGGTAGAGACAGGGTTTCGCCATATTCCCCAGGCTGGTCTCCAACTCCTGGACTGAAGCAGAACCCCTGCCTTGGCCTCCAAAGCACTGAGATTACAGGCGTGAGCCACGGTGCTTGGACCTGAATCTAGTTTCAATAATCTGAATTTAACATCCAAATCTAAGACATTATTGGTTGTATTTTATAAGCCTATGCCATTCAGCAGCGAAGTTTACCCTATCCAATCAGTCCAAGTCCTCTAGCCATTTAAAGTACTTTTCTAGCTGAAGAATTAAAAACCTGCTCCCTGGGAGAATAAGATTCCAGAACCTTAAAACTGATGATGGACTGCATTTGATATTTATAGTTAAAGATCCAGTGAAACTATTTGAGAAAGGAGATTTTATAATCTGAACACTGCTAAGGATAATGTGAAGAAAAGGGAGTTGAACAGAACTGAAGTCAAGAAAACTAGTAGGAAGAAAAGAGCTTTGTATAGAAGGAAGGAAGGATATATAGGAATGACAAGGAGTTGGCCATACTGAAAAGATGCCTCTGGTTATTCCTGTGAAAAGGTTTATAAGAAAAGAATGTCGTTAATTACAAGTGAGTTCTGAGTTAGTGTTATAGAATAGCCTTCCCCCACCCCAGCTGTTTCTGAGTTAGTGTTATAGAATAGCCTTCCCCCACCCCAGCTGTTTCTGAGTTAGTGTTATAGAGTAGCCTGCCCCCACCCCAGCTGCCTTTCATTAATCCTTTTTTTTGAGATGGAGTCTCGCTCAGTCGCCCAGGCTGGAGTGCAGTGATGTGATCTCGGCTCACTGCAACCTCTGCCTCCTGGGTTCAAGCAATTCTCCCTCCCTCAGCCTCTCAAGTAGCTGGGATTACAGGTGCCTGCCACCACGCCTGGCTAATTTTTGCATTTTTTAATGGAGACAGGGTTTCGCCATGTTGGCCAGGCTTGTCTTGAACTCCTGACCTCAGGTGACCTGTCTGCCTCAGCCTCCCAAAGTGCTGGGATTACAGGCATGAGCCACTGCGCCCAGCTCATTAATCCTTCAACTCAGGTTAAATATAATTTGAAAAGCTAATGTATTCACAATACCTTATACGTTGAATGTTCCTGATATGTATGTAGTATTGAATTCTAATCCCCAGATTGAATTTTTAATTAGTCTAAATCTCAGTGGCATTTTTGACATGTTTTGCCAAATGAAGAACCCTTCTTTCTTGGAGAGAGAATACCCAGTGGATTTAGCCAGTTCACATTCTAAAATTCACTCCTTTAATCCTTGAACTTAAATTTATTATTTATGATTATGAAGTGTGGACTTTGCTTTAGGGCCACAGAGTATTTTTTAAGATTAATTTTTTTTTTTTTGAGACGGAGTCTTGCTCTGTAGCCCAGGCTGGAGTGCAGTGGTGTGATCTGGGCTCACTGCAACCTCCGTCTCCCAGGTTCAAGTGATTCTCCTGCCTCAGCCTCCTGGGTAGCTGGGATTACAGGCGGACACCACCTGCCAGCTAATTTTTGTAGTTTTAGTAGAAATGGTATTTCACCATGTTGGTCAGGCTGGTCTCAAACTCCTGACCTCAAGTGATCTGCCCACCTCGGCCTCCCAATGTGCTGGGATTACAGACGTAAGCTACTGCACCTGGCTGTTTTTTAAGATTTTATTTATTTGTTTTATTTTTTTGAGATGGAGTCTTGCTCTGTGGCCCAGGTTGGAGTGCAGTGGCGCCATCTTGGCTCACTGCAAGCTCCGCCTGCCGGGTTCACGCCATTCTCCTGCCTCAGCCTCCCGAGGAGCTGGGACTACAGGCATCCACCACCACACCCAGCTAATTTTTTATATTTTTAATAGAGACGGGGTTTCACCGTGTTAGCCAGGATGGTCTCGATCTCCTGACCTTGTGATCCACCCGCCTCGGCCTCTCAAAGTACTGGGATTACAGGCGTGAGCCACCGTGCCTGGCCTTGTTTTTAAATCTTAAAGCACTTTTCAGGTCCATACAGAAAGCTTATTTCCCTCATGCCTGCTTATTTCCTGTAAAGACCTGAAGAACTCTTCTCTCAAGAACTCCTCAAAACATAGGTGGGTTACATTGGGCCTTCCTTGGTAGTAAGGTCAAAGGAACCTTTTCTTCCATAAGAAAACCGTTTTTCCTCTTGTCAGACTCTTTTTACTCTTATTTGTTAGTGGCTGAAGTCTTTAGTACTTCAAAACTCTTTTAAAAAACTGCCAGTCAAGGAGGTACCTCTCCAGATCTGTTTGGTAGGCAGGGTCCCTTAACTTTTTTGGGGTTGGTTGGTTTGTTTGTTTTGAGACAGTTTCACTCTTGTCACCCAGGCTGGAGTGCAATGGCACGATCAACTGGAACATCAACTTCATTTTATTTTCAAAAAATTGTTCCAGTATTTTCTTTTTCTGTTTTTTTTTTTGAGACGGAGTCTCACTCTGTCACCCAGGCTGGAGTGCAGTGGTGCAATCTCAGCTCACTGCAAGCTCCGCCTTCCGGGTTCACGCCATTCTCCTGCCTCAGCCTCCTGAGAAGCTGGGACTACAGGTGCCCGCCACCATGTCCAGCTAATTTTTTGTATTTTTAGTAGAGACAGGGTTTCACCGTGTTAGCCAGGATGGTCTCGATCTCCTGACCTCATGATCCGCCCACCTTGGCCTCCTAAAGTGTTGGGATTACAGGCGTGAGCCACCGTGCCCAGCCCCCTGTTAACTCTTGATAGTCTCCTTTCCAATACTGTGCATATTTCTTTTCCGTAGTAGTTTTTTAAAAATTTCTAATGTCTTATAGTTGGCTGTGCATCATAAACACATATTCTGTGTAAGTCTTTAACGGTGGAAATCAACTCGAAGGTCGGCTTTTATGTTAACTTCTCATTGATTTTTCAGAGTTGATATTAAAAATATGTTTATAAATATGTGTTTGGTAGACAATAAGATACTAATTAAAATGGTGGTCTTTTAGGTAAAATTCTATTGTAGTTAAGCTTATAATCATGGTTATGTATACCAAGGCCTTAATTAGAATAACAGGTCACTGAGTTTTTGATGGTTTCAGTATAGTGGTTCTCAAACATTAATTTGCAGAAGAATCAAATTCAAGAGCTTATTAAAATAAATTTGCCTTTCTAATGAGCTCATAGGCTACACCAATGCTGCTGATCTGAGAACTACACTTTGAGAACCACTGTTTTAGTCCTTTTATAAGTGACTAGATATATAAACTACAGAACTAAAGATTACACAGATTGTCACACATGGGTATGCACACAATTTAAAGGGAATTTTGTGAGATTTAAAGCTATTTTAAGTTTTACTAGATTTAGCATTTATTGATAAGGTTACCAGAAGCTTTGAATTGCATGATCCAAGGACACGCCTGTATTTGGGTCTTAGCACCTTTTTGTTCGTTCAGTCCATAGTACTTCCCACTCTCTCTTTTTTTTTTTCCTTGAGACAGAGTCTCGCTTTGTTGCTCAGGCTGGAGTGCAGTGGCGTGAACTCTGCTCACTGCAACCTCTGCGTCCTGGGTTCAAGCGATTCTCCTACCTCAGCCTTCCAAGTAGCTGGGTCTACAGGTGCCCACCACCATGCCCGGCTACTTTTTTTTTATTTTTAGTAGAGACGGGGTTTCACTATGTTGGCCAGGCTGGTCTTGAACTTCTGACCTCGTGATTCTCCCTCTTCAGCCTCCCAAAGCGCTGGGCTTATAGGAGTAAGCCACCGTGGCCCCAGCCCCATCCTTTATTTCTTTTTCTTTTCTTTTCTTTTTTGTGAGACGGAGTCTTGCTCTGTCACCCAGGCTGGAGTGCAATGGCGCGATCTTGGCTCACTGCAACCTCCGCCTCCCAGGTTCAAGCGATTCTTCCCCCTCAGCCTCCTGAGTAGCTAGGATTACAGGCATCACCATCATGCCCAGCTGAATTTTGTATTTCTGTAGAGACAGGGTTTCACCATGTTGGCCAGGCTGGTCTTGAACTCTTGACCTCAGGTAATCCGCCCGCGTCGGCCTCCGGAAGTGCTGGGATTACAGGCGTGAGCCACCGGGCCCAGCTCCTATCCTTTATTTCTTTATCCCAACCTTCATCTCTGTAAAACAGTACATAAATGGACCAGAAAAGGGTCTTTATCCTGGTGAATATTTTAGAATCTATACTAACTCATGGAGGTAAAGGCAAACATTACTATTCTTCATTCAATCAATACTTGCTGATCACATACCACATGTCAAGCATTAAATACAGAGGATACAGCAGTGAACAAGTTCCTGCCTTCTTGGAGCTTATGTTCTAAGTTAGGAAGACAAGGAAACAAGTAAACATAATATGTAACGCATAAACATATAATATGGTGATTCAGTGCTATCAATAAAGTAGGTGGAATGGGATACCCAATTTTGAAAAAAATATAGAAAAAAAGTTTTAATAAAAAATAAAGCTGGGAAGCAAAATGAGATGGGTGTCCTATTATATAAGCAAAGACCTGAAAAAGTAAAGAGGCCATGCAAATTTCTACTAGAGAAGTATTAGGCCAGGCGCGGTGGTGGTGCACTTTGGGAGTGCTGGGATTACAGGCTGGAGTGCAGTGGCACGATCTCAGCTCACTGCAACCTCTGCCTCCTGGGTTCAAGCGTTTTTTCTGCCTCAGCCTTCCTAGTAGCTGGGATTACAGGAGTGTGCCACCACACCCAGCTAATTTTTGTATTTTTAGTAGTGCTGGGGTTTCACCACGTTGGCCAGGCTGGTCTCAGCTCCTGACTTCAAGTGATCTGCCCGCCTCGGCCTCCCAAAGTGCTGGGATTACAGGCGTGAGCCACTGTTCCCGGCCTCAAAGGAAGTATCTTTAAGAAGGGTCTACTTAGAGATATGCTGGTGGTTAATGGAATAAATACAAGATAGCAAGATACCCAGAGACCAATAGCAGAACGCTACTACCTTCTCTAGGACTGGAAGAATACAGGGAAGAAATGCTGTAACTGGAGTGGAGGGGTGCTGGAGTGGTAGTTTTGGAGATGGAGCAAGATTTAAGCAGGGAGGAGCACAAAAAAAGACCTCTCTTTACTCCCATTCTCTAATATCTAGTGTTTAATATCTCTCATGGGGCAGTCTTACCAGAAACCAGTTGGTAGTGCAGTCCATAGAAACAGCCTATCAAAAATGGGCTGAGAAAAGGGCAAGTGGATACCAGCACAGCATCAAATCTGTGATTTTATAAGTGTGTGTGTGTGTGTGTGTGTGTGTGTGTGTGTAGGAAAAAGCTAAATTTTAAGAAAAGTGAGTAAAGAAAAACTTTAAATCCAAGTGAGTGGATTCAGAGAAAAACAGTATAGGTGAAAATCATGGCTAAAGTTTGGGAAACACTAGGAAAATAATTTTATGAACTGTATGTATTTAGCACAGTCTAAAATGGTCTGTAAGATTTGTTTACCTGATTCACTTTAGAATATTTTCATTATAATCTTAAATATTGTCTGACTAGTGCTCCACATGTATATTTTTTCTAGATAACTGAAGATTAAGCCTTTCAAGAATGCACAATTTTATTCATCTGTTTTGGAGGGGCTTCTCTAAAATGTATCTTAATTTCCTGAAATGTATCTGATTTCCAATATTAGAATCACTTCAGAGGGCTTGATAAAACAGGTGGGACCTACCTCTGGAGATTATCCTACTAAGGGCTGGAGAAGGACCTGGGATGATGCTGATAATACTGCTAAAAAGGGATCACACTTTGAGGACCACTCAATTATATTAAGCTTAATTTAACTTTTTCTTAATGACTTAGGGTCATTTAACCTACAAAGGTATATTAGGGTATTGAAACACAAGGATGTTTGTTCCTTCATACTGGTTCCAGGTCCATTTTATTATTTTCCTTCCTTCTTCCCATCCTCCCTCCTTTCTTTTTGTCTTTTTGTTTTTAGAAACAGGGTCTCTGTCACCCAGGCAGGAGCGCAGTGGTACAATCATAGCTGACTGCAACCTTGAATTCCTAGGCTCAAGTGATTCTCCTGTCTCAGCCTCCCAAGTAGCTAAGACTACAGGCCTGTGCCACAGTTCTAGCTAATATAGCCTGCATTCCTTTTTACTCCTCATGCTGTCATTCACTGTGCCACTAGTAATGTCTCTGTCTCACTGTTCCTCTATTAAGCTCTTCTGGGCTGAGACTAGTTAAGTTGGTTAAATTTTAGTATAGAAAATCGGTCTGTAATCTAAGTTCATGTATTTTAGTGAGTGAGCTTTATTATATCCACTTTGACCAGTTATGTTTTCCAGTTGTTTTTGAAGATACCTAATGTTGCCACATGAGGGATCTATGAGTGAGGGTGGAGCCAATTTAAAGTTGTTCTATACTTGCCTTCCAGATGGATAGGGATCACAGGAATCTCTGATACGTTTAGTAGCTAAACACCTTACTTGAAGTCCCCCAAAAAATTTTTAAATCTACATTAAATTCTAGAATTGCTATAGCTGGATGTGGTAGTCGGCCTGTAGTCCTGGCTACTTGGAAGGCTGAGATGAGAGCCCAGGAGTTTGAGGCTGCAGTGGGCCATGATCACGTGCCATTGCACTCTACCTGGTATGACACAGGTCTCTGGAAAAAAAAAAATTCTTGCTATAGTGCTTTAGCTAGCCTGTCACCTATATCAAGTATGTCTTTGTTTTTAAGTCTTTTTTTGTTTTTCTGAGCTGGAGTCTCGCTGTGTCACCCAGGCTGGAGTGCAATGGCCCGTCTGCCTCCCACGTTCAAGCGATTCTCCTGCCTCAGCCTCTCTAGTAACTGGGATTACAGGCATGCACCATCATGCCTGGCTAATTTTTGTATTTTTAGTAGATACGGGGTTTTGCCATGTTGGCCAGGCTGGTCTCCAGCTCCTGGCCTCAAGTGATCCACCAGACTCGGCCTCCCAAAGTGCTGAGATTACAGGCATGAGCCACCACGCCCAGCCTTAAGTCTGTCTTAAACTGTATTATAGCTTTTAAACACTTTCAAGTCTTGAAGTATGGAAATGGGATAAGTAACTAGTATTAGGTGTGTTTTTACAAATATTAAATATTGGATATAGGTATATAGGCTTTCTTTCCATAGTAACTAATACTGTGTAATATTAGCAAAGAAAAAGGGAACAGTGAATTGGTGTTGTTCAGTAGTTAGTGTTCTAGAACTTGGCTTCATGTGTTTGATAGAGAGCTTACTTGTAGATCTATTGAAAATTTGCACAATACATGGAAGAATAATTACATGCTTCCCAGTTGCTACCTATACCTTTCCTTTTTTTTTCTTGAGACGGAGTCTCGCTTTTGCTCTGTTGCCCAGGCTGGAGTGCAATGGCGTGATCTTAGCTCACTGCAACCTCCATCTGCCAGTTCCAAGCAATTTTCCTGCCTCAGCCTCCTGAGTAGCTGGGATTACAGATGCACACCACCACACCCGGCTAATTTTTTTTTGTATTTTTAGGAGAGGCGGGGTTTCATCATATTGGTCAGGCTGGTCTTGAACTCCTGATCTCATGATCCACCCACCTCGGCCTCCCAAAGTGCTGGGATTACAGGCGTGAGCCACCACGCCCGGCTACCTTTTCACATAGTAAGGAAATTACTATTCAAGTGCCTGTATCAGAAATGTCTTCCATTTTTTTTGTTGGCAGGATATTTTAAGGCCTCTGTCTTGAGTTTCCCTTCTAGGTAGATTTATATATTCTGCCTTGATTTTATTGTTTTCTGTACCTACTGAGTCATTTTTTTCCTTTCTTTGACTCTTTCTTTGAAATCCTACTAAATCTGCTTCGTGAAATAAATTGTTGCCTAAAATCGGTTACCTTACCCCAGTTTATTGCCAGCTTTTTTCCTTGTTAGTAAAAAAGTTTTCAGTATGTTTCTGTTATACCTTGTAAATTGATACATGCCTTCACATTATTTCATTTGATTTTCATTATAATTACTATAAATAATAGGAGGCAGTGTTATTTTACCTAGAGTAAATCAAAGTACAGGGAGGTCCTCCAATTTTACCCTAGGTCCTGGCAATCCCAAAGCCCATACTTTTTTTTTTGAGACGGAGTCTCGCTCTGTCGCCCAGGAGATCTTGGCTCACTGCAAGCTTTCTCAAGCAATTATTTTACTGCACATTCGGCTCACTGCAAGCTACGCCACCCGGGTTCACGCCATTCTCCTGCCTCAGCCTCCCGAGTAGCTGGGACTACATGCGCCCGCCACCACGCCTGGCTAATTTTTTGTATTTTTAGTAGAGACGCGGTTTCACTGTGTTAGCCAGGATGGTCTCAATCTCCTGACCTCGTGATCCACTTACCTCAGCCTCCCAAAGTGCTGAGATTACAGGCATGAGCCCAAAGCCCATACTTTTACTCTGTCTTAGATATACTGTGGTAGTTGTGTTTCTACTTTGGGCAAGTTATTTAACTTCATTGTTTGTCTTATCCATAAGGTGGGGATATTAGTTCATAAAGTTATGGTGAGGATTAAACTAAATAATATGTATAAATTGCTTAGAATAGTGTCTAGCACATAGCCAAACTACAATAAAAATAATAGTGAAAGCTATTATACCACATTACTTTCCCTTTCTTCTTTGAAAAGTTACCATAATAGCTGGGCACGGTGGCTCATGCTTGTAATCCCAGCACTTTGGGAGGCAGAGGTGGGCGGATCACCTGAGGTCGGGAGTTTGAGGCCAGCCTGACCAACATGGAGAAACCCCGTCTCTACTAAAAATACAAAATTAGCTGGGTGTGGTGTAATCCCAGCTAATTGGGAGGCTGAGGCAGGAGAATCCATTGAACCCAGGAGGCGGAGGTTGTGGTGAGCCGAGATCGCACCGTTGCACTCCAGCCTGGGCAACAAGAGTGAAACTCCGTCTCAAAAAAAAAAAAAAGAAGTTACCGTAATAAAATTAATCACTGAGATTTTCAGCCAACATTTGCTGTAGTGAAATGTCAACATCAGAAAAGATTTTAGATTGTTTCTTGAGTTTATTTTTGTTGGATTGTTTTTTTTTGTTTGTTTATTTGTTTTGTTTTGTTTTTTGAGATGGAGTTTTGCCCTTGTTGCCCGGGCTAGAGTGCCATGGTGCAGTCTGGGCTCCCTGTAACCTCTGTCTCCTGGATATAAGTGATTCTCCTGCCTCAGCCTCCTGAGTAGCTGGGATTATAGGCATGCGCCACCATGCCCTGCTAATTTTTTGTATTTTTAGTAGAGATGGGGTTTCTCCATGTTGGTCAGGCTGGTCTTGAACTCCCGACCTCAGGTGATCTGCCCACCTCAGTCCCCCAAAGTGCTAGGATTACAGGCATGAACCACCTCGCTTGGCCAGATTGTTTTAGTTCCTGTATTTTTTTTTTTTAACTCTTGTATTTCTAGTTGTCTGAATTTTTATTTATCTTAAAGCATGTGCAGTAAAATAATTGCTTGAGAAAGCTATTGAAAGTATTGTTTATGTTTTAACATACTGGGAAAAAATGGATGCCTTTTCTCTGAGATTAAAACATGTATTACATATTAATAAATCTAAAATCGACATTGAGTATTTGATGGCCTTTTGGGGTTTTTTTAAGGATTAGAATAATGCAGCCATTTGGGACAATTATTGCCTTATGTATGCATATAGAAGAAAGAAAGAATTTCACATCTGTAGAATTTGTAAAAACCATTATGTTAGCAGTAACTGTAGTAACTGAATTTTGGCAAACTTGTTGGACACCATTGTGTTTTGCTTGGCCTGGCTTTCAGTGAGTAGGTACTTATTTTAAAAAGATAAATTTCTAAAACTGTCATAATATGTTTTTTCTCTCAACAGGGCATTCTTAGCAGGGTTACAGAATCTGTTAAGAATATTGTGCCAGGGTGGCTACAAAGATACTTCAACAAGAATGAAGATGTATGCAGCTGTTCAACAGACACAAGCGAGGTTCCACGCTGGCCAGAAAATAAAGAGGACCATCTGGTATATGCCGATGAGGAGAGCTCTAATATTACTGATGGGAGAATCACACCTGAGCCAGCAGTCAGTAATACAGAAGGTAAGTAAAATGTGAATATTTTGTCATGAATGATAGGTTTTCATGCCCTAATTTTGAAGACACTACCTAGTTATGGTAAATCTAATCAGGCGGTACATAAACCATATGGGAAGAGGATGATAATCAGGTTCAAATTGGATGTCTTTTTTATTTATCAGTGTTTTATTTATTAAGGAAGGTTGATAAACTATATCAGTTAAGACTGCAAGCTCTGATGTTGGATTTTGGGTTTTAATTTTCTTTTCTTTTTCTTTTTTTCTTTCTTTTTTTTGTTTTTTGAGACGGAGTCTCGCTCTGTGGCCCAGGCTGGAGTGCAGGGTGTGATCTCTGCTCACTGCAAGCTCCGCCTCCCGAATTCATGCCATTCTCCTGCCTCAGCCTCCCAAGTAGCTGGGACTACAGGCGCCTGCCACCACACCTAGCTAATTTTTTTTTTGGTATTTTTTATAGAGACGGGGTTTCACCGTGTTAGCCAGGATGGTCTCGATCTCCTGACCTCATGATCCATCCGCCTCAGCCTTCCAAAGTGCTGAGATTACAGGCGTGAGCCACCGTGCCCAGCCAAGCCTATCCTTTAAAGCACGTGTTTTAAATTTCGATGAAGCCCAATTTATCTCTCAGTGTATGTTTCTTTCAGTATATACATTTTTTCTTTCACTACATGTTTTGAAATACATAATTACAAAACTTTTTGTAGCCCTATGTTAAAGTCTCAAATAAATAATTGATTTGGTTGTATGCCCTGTTAATTTTGGTGTACTTAGTAACATCTCCCTGCCTGATTTGTCCATAGTAAAAAATAGCGATAATGAAATGGCCCTGAAAGAATGGTTTTTATTTTAGAGAAATGGCAAACCTAATTTTTCTTAGTAATGTTCAACTAGATGTATTCTTTGAATGTTCACTTACTTTTATTAGAGTAACTTAAGTTTTAATGTCTGTACTTTTCAAGATTGCTTTTAAATATATAACCAGCAGCCATCTTGAGGTTTTATCTGGTAGATCTCTAAGCTGACTGCCTCTGTGTTATTTTCTTTTCTGGCCAGTGAAAGGGACTCTGGCTTTTCTTTTTCTGTTTTCCCCCCTCTGTTTCCTGGTTATGAGATTTGTTTCCTTTTGGTTAGAGAGTTCTAGTATATCCACAGCGACTGTCTTCTAAGATAGCTGTAGAAATGATCTTTTCTATCCTAATGAGCATATTTGAAAGGATTAACTAACTTCAAGAATTTAGGTGTGAAAGACATGGAGAGTTTCTTATTCTCTGTACAGTTTATGTATATTTGTATTTTCATGAAAATAGCAGGATGAATTTATGCCAAGGTCAACTCAAACTGATTTTATTCATTATATTATTAAATGTATAAGGAGGATTTTCTGTTACATGTCCTTATTCTTTAAGCTTTTTTGTATAACTTCTGAACTTTATTATGGAAAATTTTTAAACCTAGAGAAATAAAGAGGATAGTACAATGACACCCCCCACTCCCCGCCCCCCTCCCCCGCCGCCCGCCCCCGGCTGCCCATTACTGAGCTTCAACAATAATCAAGTCACGGTTGATCTTGTTTATACTCTATTCGCACGCCTATTTCCCTACCTTCCTACCCCCAACTCACCTGATGTACTTAGAAGCAAGTTGTGGGCAGCATTTTGATATCTACTTCAAAAACTTAAAAAATTTTTTTTTTCTATAGTACTGTTTTTTTTTCTTAACTTTTAAAACTTTGTTAATCCCAGAACTTTGGGAGGCCGAGGTGGGTGGATCATGAGGTCAGGAGATTGAGACCATCCTGGCTAACATGGTGAAACCCCGTCTCTACTAAAAATACAAAAAATTAGCCAGGCATGGTGGCACATGCCTGTAGTCCCAGCTACTCCGGAGGCTGAGGCAGGAGAATGGCATGAACCCGGGAGGCGGAGCTTGCAGTGAGCCGAGATCGCACCACTGCACTCCAGCCTGGGCGACAGCGAGACTCCGTCTCAAAAAAAAAAAAGAAATAAAAAAAAGGTTTGTTAACAATTAAGACATGCGCACATTAACCTAGCCCTACATAAAGTCAGTATCAGCTATATCATGGCTTTCTACCCCCACATCTTGTCGCACTGGATACTCTTCAGGGGCATTAACATCCATGGAGCTATCATCTCCTATGATAACAATGCCTTCTTCTGGAATACTTCCAGAAGGACTTACCTAAGGCTGTTTACAGTTGGCTTTTTCTTTCTTTCTTTCTTTCTTTCTTTTTTTTAAAGACAAGATCTCATTCTGTTACCCAGGCTGGAGTGCAGTGGCACCATCATGGCTCACTGCAACCTCAACCTTCCAGGCTCAAGCGATCCTCCCACCTCAGCCTCCCAAGTAGTTGGGACTATAGGCGTGTGCTACCACGCCCAGCAAATTTTTTTTAATTTTTTTGTGGAGACGAGGTCAAACTCTGTTGCTTAGGCTGGGCTTCAACTGGCCTCAAGTGAGCCTCCTGCCTTGGCCTCCCAAAGTGCTGAGATTACAGGTGTGAGCCACCACCTGTGAGTCAATTTTTTTTTTTTAATGTAAGTGGAAGGAGTATACTCTAGTGATAAAAGGTA
The DNA here is from genome assembly GCF_000001405.40 of Homo sapiens. Lineage (NCBI taxonomy): Eukaryota > Metazoa > Chordata > Mammalia > Primates > Hominidae > Homo > Homo sapiens. Next base: position 17,685,811 of record NC_000006.12, on the reverse strand, counting down.
TAGTAAGTACATAAAACAGTTACATAGTCATTTATTATCATTACCAAGTATAGTATTCTATAGAGTACATAAATGTATTTGCTCTAGTTTTACATGACTGGTAACACTGAGTTTATTTACATTAGCATGACTGCAGACTCCTGAGTAATGCATTGCACTAAGGCCTTAGGATGGCTATGATGTCACTAGGGAATACAGATTTTTCAGCTTCTTCATAATCTTATGGGACAACTGTTTATATAACAGTTTTTTTTTTTTTTTTTGAGACGGAGTCTTGCTCTGTTGCCCAGGCTGGAGTGCAGTGGCTCGATCTCGGCTCATTGCAAGCTCCGCCTCCTGGGTTCACACCATTCTCCTGCCTCAGCCTCCCAAGTAGCTGGGACTGCAGGTGCCCGCCACCAGGCCCAGCTATTTTTTTTTGTATTTTTAGTAAAGACGGGGTTTCTCCGTGTTAGCCAGGATGGTTTTGATCTCCTGACCTCATGATCCACCTTCCTCAGCCTCCCAAAGTGTTGGGATTACAGGCGTGAGCCACCGCTCCCAACTAGTTGACTGTTCTTATGTGGCACATGACTATATATCTGCTGTTGAAGTAGTGTCAGATTCTGGAAAGCTAACATATGGCAGTCCTAAATAAATTTAGTTGTTTACTAAATATTAATTTTATAAATACATATTTTATTGCACTTTGCACATACTGCATTTTTTACAAATTGAGTTTGTGGCAATCCCATGTCAAGAAAGTTGATCAGTGCCATTTTTCCACCAGCACACGCTAACATGTCTGTCACTTTGGTAATTCTTGCAGTATTTCAAACTTTTAAATTATGTATCTATCATGGTGATCAGTGCTCTTTGGTATTACTATTGTAATTGTTTTGGGGTGCCACGAGCCACACCCATATAAGATGATGAACTTAATCAGTAAATGTTGTGTGTGTTCCAGCTGCTCCACCAACTGGCTATTCCCCTCTTTTCTCCCTCTTTCTGGGCCTCCCTATTCTCTGACAGTATTGAAATTAGGCTAATTAGTAACCTTACAGTGGCCTCTAAGTGTTCAAGTGGAAATCAGAGTTCCCCGTCTTTTATCCAAAAGCTGTAAGTATGTAAGTTTAGTGAGGAAGGCATGTGGACAGCTGAGACAGGCCTGAAGCTAGGCCTCTTGCACCAGTTAGCCAACTTGTGAATGCAAAGGAAAAGTTATTGATGGAAATTAAAAGTGCTGCTCTAGTAAACACACAAAGGATAATATGAAAGCAAAGCAGCCAGTTGCTGATGTGTAGAAAGTTTGAGTTGGTTTAGATAGAAGATCAAACTAGCTACAAAATTCCCTTAAGCCAAAGTGTAATCCAGAGCAAGCCCTAACTCCCTTCAGTTCTGTGAAGTCTGAGGGAGATGATAAAGCTGCAGGAGAAAAGCTGGAAGCCAGCAGAGATTTATTCATGAGGTTTAGGGAAAGAATCTGTCTCTGTAACATAAAAGGGCAAGGTGAAGCAACAAGTGCTGATGTAGGAGCTGCAATAAGTTATCCAGAAGATTTAGCTAAGAGCACTGACGAAGGTGGTTTATTAGTCCATTTTGCATTCTATAAAGGAATACTTGAGACTGGGTAATTTATAAAGAAAAGAGGCTTATTTGGCTCATGGTTCTGCAAACTGTGTGGGCATGGCACCAGCATCTGCTTGGCTTTTAGTGTGGTCTCAAGGTTTTACTCATGGCAGAAGGCAGAGTGGGAGCAGGCATATCAGTCACATGGAGGGAGAAGGGAGCAAGAGTAAGGAGGTCCCAGACTATTTTAACAACCAAATATCATGTGAACCCACTACCTTGGGTAGGGTACCAAGCCATTCATGAGGAATCTGCCCCCATGACCCAAAGACTTCCCATGACCCCACTTCCAACATTGAGGATCAAATTTCAGCATAGGATTTGGAGGGACAAACATCTAAACTATCAGATGACTACACTAAACAACATATTTTCAGATGAAACATGGCCCGCCGTTGGAAGAAGATACCATCTAGGATTTTGATAGCCAGAGAAGAGACATCAATGCCTGGCATCAAAGGATAGGCTAACTCTCTTATTAGGGGTTAATGCAACTGGTGACTGTAAGTTGAAGCCAATGCTTATTTACCATATCAAAGATCCTAGGGCTCCTAAGAATTATGCTAAATCTACTCTGCCTGTGCTGTGTAATTGAAACAACAAAACCTGGATGACAACACATCTATTTACAGCATGGTTTACTGAACATTTTAAGCCAGTTGTTGAGACCTCTTGCTTGGGGACAAAAAGATTCTTTGCAAAACAACACTGCTCATTAACAATGCATTTGGTCACCCAAGAGCTCTAATGAGATGTGCATAGAGATTAATGTTGTTCTGATGCTTGATAATACAATGTCCATTCTGCAGCCCATGGATCAAGGAGGCATTTTGACTTTCCAGTCTCATTATTTAAGAAATACCTTTCATATGGCTATAGCTATCATAGTCATTCCTCAGATAGATCTGGGTAAAGTAAATTGTAAACCTTTTGGAAAAGGTTCACCATTCTAGATGACATTAAGAACATTTGTTGAGTTTCAAGTCAAGGCTAATTTGGGGGAGAAAAACCATTTGTGATTTACAGGAGGAGGTCCAAATATTGACATGAATAGGAGTTTAGAGAAAGTTGATTCCAGCCCCCATGGATAACTTTGAGGGGTTCAGGACTTCAGTGGAGGAAGGAACTACAAATGTGGTGGAAATAGAAAGAAAACTAAAATTAGAAGTGGAGTATGAAGATGTGACTGAATTACTGCAATATCTTATGCTCAAACTCGAATGGATAAGGAGTTGCTTCTTGTGGATGCGCAAAGAAAGTGTTTTTTTTTTTTTTTTTCTTCTTTTTTGAGACAGTCTTGCTCTGTCACCCACTCTGGAGTGCAGTGGCACAATCTCAGCCCACTGCAACTTCAGCCTCCTGCGATAAAGCAATTCTCCTGCCTCGGTCTCCCGAGTAGCTGGGACTACAGGCATGTGCCACCACACCCAGCTAATTTTTTGTATTTTTAGTAGAGATGGGGTTTCACCGTGTTGGCAAGGATGGTCTCGAGCTCCTGACCTAGTGATCTGCACCCCTCAGCCTCCCGAAGTGCTGGGCTTACAGGTGTGAGCCACCACACCTGGCAAAAGTGGTTTCGTGAGATGGAATCTACTCTTGGTGAAGATACTGTGCACATTTTTAAGATTACAGAATAATTTAGAATATTACATAAACTTAGTTGATAAAGCAGCAGCGAAATTTGAGAGGATTGACTCCCATTTTGAAAATTCTGCAGTTAGAATGCTATCAAAAACATTGCATGCCACAGAGAAATCTTTCGTTAAAGGAATAGTCAGTCGATGAGGCAAACTTCATTGTTGTCTTATTTTAAGAAATTGCTACAACCAACCCAGCCTTCACTACTCATCACCCTGATCAGTCAGTAGCCATCAACATTGAGGCAAAGACCTGTTAACACCACCTAAAAGATTATGACTTTCTAAAGGCTCAGCAGATTGTTATTTGTTAGCAATTTTTTTTTAAGTAGGTATGTTGTTTTTATTGTCATAATGCTGTTGCACACTTAATAGGCTATAGTGTAGTGTAAACATAACTTTTGTATGCACTGGGAAACCAAAAACGTGTGTGACTCACTTTACATTCTCCTCCTCACTCTCCCAGGTAGCTGGGACTACAAGAGCGTGCTGCCATGCCTAGCTATGTTTTAAAAATTTTTAGTAGACGTGAGGCCTCACTGTGTTGCCCAGGCTGGTCTTGAACTCCTGGCCTTAAGTGATCCTCCTGCCTCAGCCTCCTAAAAGTGCTGGGATTATAGGGATGAGCCACCACACCTGGCCTGTGTTGGATTTCTTTTTCCTCTTTGGTTTCTGTATATACTAGGTTTAGTTGATGTCTGCCAAGAGTTAGAAAATTATCCTATCACTTTTCTCCTATAGGAGAAACTGATGCAGGGATGAGAGAATGGGATAAGTAAAAAGCATGTTCATAGTGTAATATACTACAGTAATATTGGAATACTTGATACCCTGGGAAACATTTCAACCTATGTGTATGTAAATCCTGATTGCAGATAAATTGAAATATTTATTATGTGTAAATGCTAATTGGTTTAAATACCTATACCAGCAGATTTCTAAACCCCAGACAGTATCTCTGGTTTTTTATTTTTGTTTTGTTTTGAGACAGGTTCTTGGCTCTGTCGCCCAGGCTGGAGTACAGTGGCATGATCTCAGCTCACTGCAACCTCCATCTGGGTTCACGCCACTCTCCTGTCTCAGCCTCCCAAGTAGCTGGGACTACAGGCGCCCGCCACCACACCCGGCTAATTTTTTGTATTTTTAGTAGACACGGGGTTTCACCTGTTAGCCAGGATGGTCTCGATCTCCTGACCTCGTGATCCGCCCACCTCGGCCTCCCAAAGTGCTAGGATTACAGGCATGAGCCGCCTTCTGGTAACCATCATTCTATTCTCTGTCTCCATGAGTTGCCCACTGGTATTCGTCATTCTATTCTGTTTCCATGAGTTCTTTTGAGTCCGTTTTTTTTTTTTAAAGCTGTCACATTTGAGAACATGTGATAGTTGTCTTTTTGTGCCTGGTGTATTTCACTTAATGTGATGTTCTGCAGTTCCATCTATATTGTTGCAAATGACAAGATTTAATTCTTTTTTTTTAATGGCTGAATAATACTCCATTGTGTATATGTAGCACAGTTTCTTTGTCCATTCATTTGTGGATGGATACTTAGGTCAATTCCGTATCTTGGCTATTGTGAATAGTGCTGCGAGTGCAGATTATCTCTTTGATATACTAGTTTCCTTTAACTTGGATATATACCCAGCAGTGGGATTGTTGGATCATATTGTGGTTCTACTTTTAGTTTTTGTGAGAAACCTCAATGATGTTCTCCATGATGGCTGTACTAATTGATAATTCCCACCAACAACAGTGTACAAGGATTCTCCTTTCTCTACATCCTCACCAGCATCCATTATTGCCTTTTTGATAAAAGCCATTTTCACTGGGGGTTGGAGTACTTTTTATGTTCTGGATATTAATCCCTTATCACATATATAATTTGTGGATATTTTCTCCCATCCTGTAGGTTGACCTTTTACTCTGTTGATTACATTCTTTGATGCATAAAAGTTTTTACATTTCATGTAGTCCTGTTTGTCTGTTTTTGCTTCCATGGCCTGTGCTTTTAGTGTTGTATCTGATAAATCATTGTCAAATCTCATGTCCTGAAATTCTGTTTTCTTCTATAAGTTTTATAGTTTTGGGTGTTATACTTTGGTCTTTAATCCATTTAGAGTTAATTTTTGTATATGGTTCAAGATAAGGGTTCATTCTTTTTCATGTGGATATCCAGTTTTCCAAAACCATTTAATGAAGAGACTGTCCTTTTCCCATTGAGTGGTCTTGAAATCCTTGTTGAAGATCGTTTGATCATATATGGTAGTTTATTTCTGGGCCCTGTGTTCACGTCCATGGTCTGTATTGCCTGTCTTTATTACAGTATTACAGACCACAGGCTCTTTGGTTTCCCATGTAATGGAAATTAACACGGACCCAAGCAGATTTCCCAGACAGGACTTTTATTTCAGGGCTTGTGCTTGAGCGCAAGGGAAACAGTGGAGGTGAGGCTCAAGGATCCTCTTCCTGGCTTCCCGGAAAAAGCCAGTAGGAATTTTTTTTATTAGGCAAAGCGCAGGAATTGACATGGGGTAAGGTATGCAGGCTGGGCTGGGCAAAGCACCTGCAGGGTAGGGTACGCAAGGCAGCATATCTGGTTGCGATGATTACCTTGAGTAGTGGTCTGGCCGGTGGCAACAATGCTGTAAATCAGTTATTTCGCATTCCTTCCTGAGGTGGACTCTCTGCAACCTTGGTTTGATTTTGGATCTCCTAAGAGCAATTCCTGGAATTCTTTAAAAGGTATGGTTACCTATTATGAGAGCACCGAAGAATGGCTGTTTTCTTTTTGTGACTAAAGCCTCAGGGTTAGCATGTGTAACATCAGCGAGGTAGTCTTGTGGATTTTGTGAAGAGAAGAAAAAAATACATATGTGAAGGAGAAACTACCTCCCACCTCCTGTTCTCTCTCACCAGTGCCACATTGTTTTCATTACTGTACTTCTGTATTAAGTTTTAAAATCAGAAAGCTTGAGACCTCCAACTTTTTTGTTGTTTTTAAAGATTATTTTGGCATTTTGAGGTTCCTTGAGATTCCATATGAATTTTAGGATGGGTTTTCTATTTCTGCAAAAATGTCTTTGGGATTTACATAGAGGTTATATTGAATCTGTAGATTGCTTAGAATAGTATTGACATCCCAACAATATTTAGTCTTGTAGTCCATGTACGTGGGATATTTTTCCATTTCTGTTTTCTTTCTTTCGGTACTGTTTTGTAGTTTCCATGTGCACATCTTTTACCTTGGTTCATTCCTAAATATTTTATTCTTTTTGATGCTATTATAAATGAAATTGTTTTCTTACTTTTCAGATTGTTCATTATTAGTGCCTAGAAACACATTTTTTTGTGTTGATTTTTGTATCCTGGTACTTGGCTAAATTTGCTCTAACAGCTTTTGGCTGAATCTTCACTGTTATTTACATGTAAGATTATATCATCTGCAAACATGTTTTTTTACTTTATTATGTTGTAGTTTCGTTCTAGTCTTAGTTTGTTGAGTGTTTTTATCTGCAGCTGGCTTTTTTTGTTATAGTACTTTGGAACTAAATAATCCAGAATTGTTTTGTATTGCTTAAGCTGTAAAATATTTGTTAAGACTTATTTTTTTTTTTTTTTTAAATGAGATAGTCTTGCTTTGTTGGTCAGGCTGGAGTGCAGTGGTGCCATCATAGCTCATTGCAGCCTTGAACTCCTGGGCTCAAGTGATCCTCCCACCTCAGCCTCCTTGAGTAGCTGGGACTACAGCTGTGTGCAACCACACCCAGCTGACTTTTTAAATTTTTAGTAGAGATGAAGTCTCAGTATGTTGCCCAGGCTGGTCTCGAACTCCTGGGCTCAAGTAATCCTCCTGCCTTGGCCTCCTAAAGTGTTGGGACTACAGGCGTGAGCCACTGTGTCCAGCCAAGACAATTTTTTAGGAAGATAGCACATAGAAGAACACTACAGAATGGCAAATACAGTCTAGCAGCACATCACAAAATACTTACTGAGGAGAGCATTAATCAAGGAATGCAAGTAATCATTCAGCGTTTAATATAGTTTACCATGTTACTAGGTAAAATGATCTTATTTTTGCTTTTTAGTAAATAGACATTTGCTAAAATTTAAAATTCACTCTTTATTTCTATTTGGAGTTTAGAAACTGTTACTTCCTTAACATGTCAGTTTTTCAAACCAAAGGCCAGAATCTTTTTTTTTTTTTTTTTTTTTTTGAGACAGAGGGTTCTGTCAACCAGGCTGGAATTCAGTGGCAAGATCTTAGCTCACTGCAACCTCTGCCTCCCAGGTTCAAGCAATTCTCGTGCTTCAGCCTCCCAGGTAGCTGGAATTACAGGCGTGTGCCACCATGCCCGGGTAATTTTTGTGTTTTTAGTAGGGATGGGATTTTGCCGTGTTGGCCAGTCTGGTCTTGAACTCCTGACCTCAAGTCATCTGCCCGCCTTGGCCTCCCAAAGTGCTGGGATTACAGGTGTGAACCACTGTGCCCAGCCCAGAATCATATTTAATGGTGAAACATTAGAAGCAATCTTATTAAAGTTGGGAATAAGGTAGAAGTCCATCACCACCACTTCTAGATATTAAGAATGTAATTAGTTATGGGGATGTGGTAATGTGTTAGAATAAGAAAACTCTAGCAATTGACACAAAGTTAATATTGAAAAATACCTAACGACTCTCTTATTTAAGCAGTAGTCAGAAAACACGAAAGAAGAAAGGATCCCATTTGTAATATCAAACAATTGGGAGGTGGAGGCTGCAGTGAGCGAAGATTGCGCCACTGCACTCTAGCCTGGGCGACAGAGTGAGACTGTCTCAAAAAAAAAAAAAAAAAGGAAAAAAAAAATTATGTACTTTAACAAGTGTGTGACACTCTAAAAGAAGAAATTCTCTTAAGTTCCACTGAGGGACATAAAGGAGATCTGAACCAAAGGAAAGGTGGGTAGGAAAGCAGTGTTGGGAATGCTATCAGTTCTTCTTAAAAATCTTAAATTCAGTGTGATCCTAGTCAAAATAATTTTAAGGGCTCTTTTAGGAACTTTGAACATATTCCAGATAGCTGCTTTAAAGTCTTGTAATGCTAAATGTTTTAAGGTCTTTGTCTGCTACCTTTGGTTAAAGTTTCTAACACCTACTCTCCCCCACCCCCTACCCCCGTGCATGGATCACAGTTTTCTTTTTTCTATACATTGAGTTTTTACTATATTGGCATTTTGAATGATAATGTGTAGAGACTCTTGGTTCTGTCATCTTCCTCTGAAGAGTGTTGGTTCTTGTTTTTAGCAGGCAGTTCAGTTAATGATAATTTTGAACTTCTGTAGATGTAGTTTTGTGCTGTATTAATGTATATTTGTGGGGACAAGTCCAGGGTGTTTCCTAAGCCTCCCAATGTGGTGGGCCTTAGCCTCCAAGCTCTGTCTCCCCTGTGGCTTTTTAGGAGAGATCTGTAGTAGGTCTTATTTTAGTTATATACTTATTCCTTATTTTTAAGGGCGAACCTTTTGGTACATCAGCTGAATGCCATTAGTAATGAGATCTTTAAATTCTGGCAGCCCTAAAACTTGAGAGTCCTCAGCATTGTTTTTTTCCCCTAGCACGGTACACTGTCTAGTATCTCTGTTTTCTCAACTCCATAGCAGCTGCTGCGTAAGGCTTAGGTGGTCTTGATATAGGTATGTGCAGCCTCTCTGCTCACTGGACACTCCCTTGTGGATTTCTGGGAGACCCTCTCTGCACAGTTCCCTACTCTGCAGTGTCCTAAATTCTGATTTCTTCCCGCTCTGTTTTACTTGACTCTAGGTCTCTGTTCAAGGTCTGAAAATGTTCCTAGACAGAGAGCTGGGTAATCGTAGGGCTCACCTTGTGAGTTTTTTTTTGTGCTGTTTTCCACTGTCTGAAAGCAGTAGCTTCATATTTTTTCTCCAGTCTTATAATTGTTTACAGTAGAAGGACTGGTCTGGTCCCACTTATTCCGTTCTAACTGGAAGCCTCTTTTTGGGAACTTTAGAAACAATTCTAAAGTTTTTGAAAATGCCTCTGAAGACAAATTCTGAAAAATGATTTATTTTAATAATTTAATATTTTAATAACGGGAAGGTGGGGTGGAGTAACTTCAACACGCATTAAATTCTAAAGCATAATATTTAAAACATTTGGTACTCGTGCAGAAGTATAAAGATACATCATTAGAGGAAGAGAGGAATAAAGACTCTGGGAATTTAGTATGGTTTAGTATGTGGTAACAGTGGCTTCTCAATCATTGAGGAAAGGATGGCTTATTTAAGAGATTACCTTAGGTTATAAACAGGTTAACCATTTGGAAAACAGTGAAGCCGAATCCTTTCTTTACTCCTGCATCATAACTAATTTCAGATGGGAGTCAAGATTAGACATATTGAAATAAAAGCAACAGTATCAAAATACGGGTAAAACTTATTTTTTATGGTCTCAGAATGATAGGACTATAAGGCAGAAGTTACTTTCTGTATTACAAAATACACCATCAAAAAAGTGAATGGGTTTAATCAACTGGCAAAAAATAGTTGTATTTCAACTGTTGTATCGTATCACATCACTCTTACTGGTTTAAAAAAATTAGCTCTTATTTAAATTAATTTTAGTTAGTTGAAACTTTGTTTTGCCTAGGAGTATGTTATATTGGGCTTATTATGGGATGCCCCAGTGATTTGAATTGAAGCTATTATATACTGTAATGTGTTTTCTTAAAGTAAAAACCATTTGTGGTAGTGTATCGCTCTAAGTTGTATATTCATAATATTAATGCTTTTCTTTTAAGAACCTTCAACAACTAGTACTGCTTCAAATTATCCAGATGTGTTAACAAGGCCTTCTCTTCATCGGAGCCATCTGAATTTTTCCATGTTGGAATCCCCTGCATTACACTGTCAGCCATCTACATCCTCGGCATTCCCAATTGGCAGTTCGGGATTTTCCCTTGTAAAGGAAATTAAAGATTCTACCTCTCAGCATGATGATGATAACATCTCAACTACCAGTGGTTTTTCTTCAAGAGCTTCTGATAAAGGTATTCTTGACATGTGGTAGTACATAATTTGGGTAGTAACATTAAATTTTATGGGTTTTTTTTCTGACTTGGTTGTAATTTTTATTTTCTATTTATAAAAATCTAGGCTCTTGTATTGGTGTTATTACTATGGATTATGTAATTTTGTTTCAGATATAACTGTTTCAAAGAACACTTCATTGCCACCTCTGTGGTCCCCAGAAGCTGAACGTTCTCACTCACTCTCACAGCACACTGCCACCAGCTCAAAAAAACCAGCATTCAACTTGTCTGCCTTTGGAACACTTTCCCCTGTGAGTACTAACTGGGTTGGATTTAATCACATTAGTTTTGAGTGTTTATTGCTTATAATTTTTTTTTTTTTTTCTGAGACAAGAGTCTTTTGCTGTTGCCCAGGCTTGAGTGTGTAGCAGCATGATCTTAACTCACTGCAACCTCCACCTCCTGGGTTCATATGGCTTATAATTTATCATTCTGTTTCTGTGCAGTCACTTGGGAATTCTTCAATCCTTAAAACCAGTCAGCTTGGAGATTCTCCTTTTTATCCTGGAAAAACAACATACGGTGGGGCAGCAGCTGCTGTAAGACAGTCTAAACTACGAAATACACCTTATCAGGTAGGTTCCAATAGAAGGGTTGATGATCTTTTTTTTTCTTTTTTTTTACACTTTAACTGGATAATAAATTACTTTGTGCTCAAAAAAATAGTTTTGATTTATTTTTTATTTTTCTTTTATTTATATTTTTTCGAGATGGAGTCTTGGCTCTGTCGCCCAGGCTGGAGTGCGGTGGCACAATCTCGGACCACACTGCAACCTCCGTCTCCTGGTTTCAAGCGATTCTCCTGCCTTAGCCTCCCAAGTAGCTGGGAGTACAGGCACATGCCACCACGCCCAGCTAATTTTTTGTATTTTTAGTAGAGACGGGTTTCACTGTGTTGGCCAGGATGGTCTTGATGATCTCTTGACCTCGTGATGCGCCCACCCCGGCCTCCCAAAGTGTTAGGATTACAGGCGTGAGCCACTGCACCCGGCCAGTAGTTTTGATTTAATATTGTTCTTTGGGAAAACAACAGCTATGGGTTATATTTTTTTCATTTAGGGTATATAAACATTATTTTAGACCTAAGTGAGTGTTTTATGTATTAGATATGTGCGTGTATCTCAAGAAATGTGATTCTTTTTTTTAAATGACGTATAAATTACACATACTACAATTTTTCATTGTTTTAGAGTATTTGAGCTTTAACAAAACATATTATTATGTATATAACCACTTCTACAATCAAATATTGATCAGACATTTTCATCACCCCAAAACGTTACCTTATGTATCTCTTGAGTCAACCCTTCTCCTACAACCCTCTGGCAACCACGGATCTGTTTTCTTTCTCTGTAGTTTTGGCCTTTCCAGAATGTCATATACGTTTAGTCATATGTAACCTTTTGAGTCTGGCTTATTCTACTTAGCATAATGCATTTGAGATCCATTTGTTTTTGCATCTTTTAATAGTTCCTTTTTATTGCTGAGTAGTATGGTTAGTACAGTTGGTTTATTATTCACCAGTGAAAAGACACTGAGTTGTTTCCAGTTTCTGGCAATTATGAATGAAGCTGCTATGAATGTTTTTTGTGAGCATTCATTTTCATCTCAGGTAAATACAAATACCTAGGAGTTGAATTGATGGGTCATATGGTAAGTATACAGTAAACTTTATAATAAACTGCCAAACTGTTTTCCAGAGTGGCTGGTACCAGGTTTCATTCTGACTGGTAATATAAGAGTTGCTGTTCATCCTTGTCAGCACTTGGTGGTGTCAGGTTTTTTGTTTGTTTTTGCTATTCTAGTAGGCATGTAGTGGTAACCCCAACTTCTGATTTTGATTTGTACTTCCGTAATGACTAATGATGTTGCATGTCTTTTCATGTGTTTATTTGGTGCTTATTTGCTATCAGCCTATCTTTTGGTGAAATATCTTCTTTGGTGAAGTGTCTGTTCAAATCTTCCACCCATTTAAAAATTGGGTTATTTTCTTATTAATAAATTTTGAGAGAGTTCATTTTTCAGGGTACAAATACTTTGTTATATGTTTTGCGAATATTTTCTCCCATTCTCTGGTGTATCTTAACAGTGTCTTTTGAAGAGCAGAAGTTGTTATTTTTTTTTTCTCTGAGACAGGTCTTGTGCTGTCGCCCAAGCTTGAGTGCAGTGGCGCACCCTCCACCTCCTGGGTTCAAGCAATTCTCTGCGTCAGCCTCCTGAGTAGCTGGGATTACAGGTGCCTGCCACCACACCTGGCTGATTTTTGTATTTTTAGTAGAGACGGAGTTTCTCACCATCTTAGCCAGGCTGGTCTCGAACTCTTGACCTTGTGATTCACCCGCGTTGGCCTCCCAAAGTGCTGGGATTACAGGCGTGAGCCACCGCGCCCAGCCAGAAGTTTTACTTTTGATGACATCTTTTGTGTGTGTGTGTGCGTGTGTGTGTATTCTTAATGGTTTCATGCTTTTGGTGTCGTATCTGAGATATTTTTACTATTATAATCCCATGTCACAAAGATTTTGTCTTATGTTTTCTTCTACAAGTTTTATAGTTTTAGGTTTTAATTTATGCCTATGATTCATTTTGAGTAGATTTTTGTGTGTGGTATGAGGTATTGGTCAAGGTTCATTTTATTTTCTAAATTAAAAAGTTTTTTTAAAAAATGAAAGGTAGGAGTCTTACTACGTTGCTCAGGCTGATCCTGAACTGCTGGGCTCAAGCAATCCTCCTGCCTCAGCCTCCCAAAGTTCTGAGATTACAGGTGTGCCTGGCCAAGGTTTTTTGTTTTTTGTTTTTTGTTTTTTTAACATATGGGTGTGCAATTGTTCTAGTGTTATTTGTTAAAAAGACTGTTCTTTGTTCATTGAATAGCTTTTGCACCGTCTTTGTTCTGTGTTTTTGTTTGAGACAGGGCCTTGCTCTGTCACACAGGTTGGAGTGCAGTGGCACGATCATGGCTCACTGCAACCAGAACCTCCTGGGCTCAAGTGATCCTCCCACTTTAGCCTCCTGAGTAGCTGGGACCACAGGCGTGTGCCACCATTCCCAGCTAAATTTTTTTTTTGGTAGTGACAGGGTCTCACTAAGTTGCCTAGGCTGGTGTTGTACTCCTGGGCTCAAGCGATCCTCCTGTGTTGGCTTCCCAAAGTGTTCGGATTACAAGCATGAACCACCAGGCCTGGCCTGCACCTTTGTTGAAATCCAGTTCACATGGCTTTATTTCTGGACTTTTGACCATCCCTCCCCCGACCCACCCATTGATCTGTGTGTCTTTCCTTTTGCCAACTGCACTGTCTTGATTGCCATAGGCTTCCCGGTAGGTCTTAAAATTAGGTGATGTGAGTAGTCCAATTTTGTTCTTTTTCAAGCTTGTTTTGGCTTTTTTAGGTCCTTTGCTTTTCTATAAAAATCTAAAATTGGCTTGTTTCTACAGTCTGCTAGGATTTTGATTGGAATTGCTTTTTTTATTTTTTAGATGGGATCTTGCTCTGTTGCCCAAGCTGAAGTGCTGTGGCATGATCTTGGTTCACTGCAACCTCCACCTCCCAGGTTCACACAATTTTCCTGCCTCAGCCTCCCAAGTAGCTGGGACTACAGGCACACACCACCATGCCCCACTAATTTTTGTATTTTTAGTAGAGACAGGGTTTTACCATGTTGGCCAGGCTGGTCTCGAACTCCTGACCTCAGGTGATCCGCCCACCTTGGCCTCCCAAAAGTGCTGGTATTATAGGTATGAGCCAGCATGCCCAGCCATGATTGAGATTGCATTTGAGTCTAAAGACCAATTTGGGGAGAATAGGCATCTTAACAAAATTGAGTCTTCCAAACCATGAACATGGTATATCTTCCCATTTAGGTGGTTTATAAATTTTTTTCATCAGTGTTTTGTAGTGTTCAGCATACAGATCTCGAACATATTTTGTTAGACTTATTTGTTAGACTTTTGTTATTTGGTATTAGTCAAGAATATGTAGCCTGAATAACTTTTATCTTTTCAGTGAATTGAGTTCATAATTTAAAATACGTTCCAGCAAAGAAGCTTCAGGCTCAGATAGCTTCCCTGGTGAATCCTACCAAACATTTAAGAAAGAAATAATACCAATTCTACACAAACTCTTATGTATAGTAGGAGAGTAGGGAACACTTCCCAGTACCTTTTATGAGGCCAACATTATTACCCCGAGACCAAAATCAGACAAAGACATTAGAAGACAGCAACAGACTATTATTTCTCATGAATTATAGACACAAACCTCAACAAAAATATTTGTAAATGGAATCCAACAAATTTAAAAAGGAAACTGCATCATGATCAAGTGGGGTTTATCCTGGGAAGGCAAGGTTGACTCAACATATGAAAATTAATGGGATTAGACCAGGTGTGGTGGCTCATGCCTGTAATCCCAGCACTTTGGAAGGCCTTAGATCACCTGAGGTCAGGAGTTCGAGACCAGCCTGGCCAACATGGTGAAACCCTATCTCTACTAAAAATACAAAAATTAGCCGGTTGCAGTTGGACGTGCCTGTAATCCCAGCTACTCGGGAGGCTGAGGCAGGAGAATCATTTGAACCTGGGAGGCGGAGGTTGCAGTGAGCCGAGATTGTGCCACCGCACTCCAGCCTGGGCAACAGACTGAGACTCTGTCTAAAAAAAAATAAAAAATAAAAAATTAATGGGATTTACCATGTAAACAATCTAAAGAGTACTATATGAACATCTCTATAGATACATAAAATATTTTTTAAAAATCCAACATTTAGTCATGATAAAAATTTTTGAACAAACCTAGGTATAGTTGAGATCCTTCTACCTGATAAAGTGCATTTACAAAAAAATCATCTGGCAACATACTTAATGGTATGAGGAAGCAAGCAAGGATGTCTGCTATCACTGCTACTGTTTAACATCATACTGCAGGTGCTAGCCAGTGCAGTAGGCACAGAAATCAATGCATGCAGATTGGAAAGGGTATTATTCCTGTAATATTTTTACTGTACACAGATAACATGCTTATCTACGTAGAAAAATCCAAAGAAAATACAAAAAAAGCCACCACAACTAATAAGCGAGTTTAACAGGGTCACAGGATACAAGGTCAATATACAAAAGTCTGTTGTATTTATATACATATATTGGCAGCAGTGACTATGAAATGCCTATATTTGAAGATTTTTGTCTTGTTTTTAGATGTTGTACTTGCTTTCCTGTTTATTCTCCCATATATAATTAACAGTAATTATGAGACTTATTTCTGAGTGTTGGTGGAGGACAGTATTCTGTTATTACCGAAGGGGTTAACAGAATGGTGTAAGTATGTAGAGAGCTTTTTCTAAAGCTTAAGCTAGCGTGTAGTACTTTTTTTTTTTTTTTTTTTTTTTTTGAGAAAGAGTCTCGCTCTGTTGCCCAGGCTGGAGTAGAGTGGTGCAGTCTCGGCTCACCACAACCTCCGCCTCCTGGGTTCAAAGCAGTTCTCCTGCCTCAGCCTCTCGAGTAGCTGGGACTGCAGGCACACACTGCCACGCCTGGCTAATTTTTTGTATTTTAATACAGATGGGGTTTCACCATGTTGCCCAGGCTGGTCTTGAACTCCTGAGCTCAGGCAGTCCGCCCTCCTCACACCTCCCAAAGTGCTGGGATTACAGACATGAGCCACCATGCCCGGCCCATACTTTCTTTAAAATGGTGCATGCTGTCTTATCATTCTTTTGTTATTGTAAAGGTAATTTCTCAATCAGAGAATTGGATTTCCAGTAAAGGCATAAAGAAAAAAATTGAACTTTTAATGATACCACCCAAAGATAAATTGCTGTTAATGCATTAAATCCTGTTTTACTTTGGACATCCATTCTATCTTGTAAATATTTTCACTGCATGAAATATGTGCCTTAGATTTTATGTTGCAACAAATAATATAGGGTTTACTTTACAGGCACCAGTTAGAAGACAAATGAAAGCTAAGCAACTCAGTGCACAATCTTACGGTGTGACCAGTTCAACAGCTCGGCGAATATTGCAGTCTTTAGAGAAGATGTCAAGCCCTTTAGCGGTAAATTTTTAAAATCACGATTAATACAGGAGTGTAACAAAACTTGATATTATTGAAAAATCTTAATTTTGTTATTTTTTCAACTTTAACAGGATGCAAAAAGAATTCCATCCATTGTTTCTTCTCCTCTGAATTCTGTAAGTTGAGATTTAAACCTTTTTACAAAATATTGTTCATACAAAAATTAGCCGGGTGTGGTGGTGCACACCTGTAGTCCCAGCTACTTGGGAGGCTGAGGCAGGAGAATCACTTGAACTTGGGAGGCAGAGGTTGCAGTGAGTCAAGATCGCGCCACTGCACTCCAGCCTGGGCGACAGAGTGAGACTCCATCTCAAAAAAAAAAAAAAAGGTATTTTTCATAACTCCCCATCTATTCTAATAGTGTTTTTTTTTTTTTTCAGCCTCTTGATAGGAGTGGGATAGATATCACAGATTTTCAGGCCAAAAGAGAAAAGGTAAAACTTCTTTAGCATTTAGTTATTTAAACTGTCTACAATTTTGTTGTGTTTAAAGTTCACAAGTATACAAATTGGATTTAGTTTAGACATTAGGGAACATGTTTGAAAAATAATATTCTTTTTTTTTTTGAGTCTCAGTCTCGCTCTGTCATCCAGACTGGTGTGCAGTGGTGCCATCTTGACTCACTGCGACCTATGGCTCCCAGGTTCAAGCGATTCTCGTGCCCCAGCCTCCCTAGTAACTGAGATTACAGGCACGTGCCATCATGCCCTGCTCATTTTTGTATTTTTAGTAGAGATAGGGTTTCACCGTTTTGGCTAGACTGGTCTCAAACTCCTGAGCTCAGGTGATCTGCCTGCCGTGGCCTCCCAAAGTGCCGGGACTAAGGTGTGAGCCACTGTGCCTGACCCTGAAAAATAGTATTCTTCTACTTGGACATTTTACTCTCTTCTGCAGTCCTCAGGACAATATTGTATATGTAGTAGATACTCATCCAATTTTTTTTTGGGCTATTCAGCATTTCCATCTTGAGGATCTTGACAGACTTTATGGCTTACTGTTACCTTTTGATAAATAAAAATAGGAGTGATCGGCCAGGTGCGGTGGCTTACGCCTGTAATCCTAGCACTTTGGGAGGCCCAGGCCAGTGGATCACTTGAGGTCAGGAGTTCAAAACCAGCCTGGACAACATGGTGAAACCCTGTCTCTACTAAAAATACAAAAAAAAATTAGCCAGGTGTGGCGGTGCGCACCTGTAATCTCAGCTACTCCGGAGGCTGAGGCAGGAGAATCACTTGAACCCGGGAGGCGGAGGGTGCAGTGAGCCGAGGCCGCGCCACTGCACTCCAGCCTGGGAGACAAAGTGAGACTCTATCTCAAAAAAAAAAAAAAAAAAAAAAAAGTTCAGTAAACTAAAGTCCTCATTGCACATCATCATCTTTGTATACTTTCCTCATTAACCAAAATTTTGTGAAATCTATTGTGTGTAGTAGAATTTCAATTAGGCAGATCTCTCATCAGCCAAACAAAATACTGTTTCAAGATAGTGGAACTGATAAAGTTGATCATTATATCTTGCTGCCCTTTTAATATATCCTATTTGCTTAAAATTAACTTTGGCGGTTACTGTGGGAAAAAAATACAATGTTTGATAGTTTGGGTTAAAGAGGTATCTTTTGTTAGTTTATTTATAGCTGGTTAAGCATCCTTCAGGGAAAGCAGACTGTTGGATTTTTCTTTTTTTTCTTTTCTTTTTGAGGCAGCGTCTCGCTCTGTCACCCAGGCTGGAGTGTGCAGTGGCACAGTCGCAGCTCACTGCAACCTCCACCTCCAGGGCTCAAGCAATTCTCCTGCCTCAGCCTCGCAGGTAGCTGGGACTACAGGCGCCTATCACCATGCCTGGCCGATTTTTTGTATTTTTAGTAGAGATGGGGTTTCACCGTATTAGCCAGGGTAGCCTTGATCTCTTGACCTCGTGATCCGCCCGCCTCGGCCTCCCAAAGTGCTGGGATTACAGGCGTGAGCCACCGTGCCTGGCTTGGATTTTTCTTTTGAAAACATTTCTTGGAATACCAAGTTCCTCAAAAGTAATTATTTAAATTATAATTTTATGAATTAATTGCAATGACTAAGATATTGATAAATTATTATCTGTAATGAAATTCTGATGCAAAGAAAGCTAATATTGAACTTTTTATTGGAAGAGTGTTGCTTCTCAATTTTTGGAATTACCTAGACATTTGGAATTAGGCAAGAAGGAATCTATTAGTAGTTTCTATGATGGGCTTAATTTAAGCTACTAGCTTTTCTCAACCCCTCATTTATATCAGGTTATTTTATAATAAGAGGTGAAATTTTAAAATTATGTCATAATGTAAGTTCTTATCAATAACAGTTTTACTAATGGTTGAGTATCGTATCCATAAAAGTTTATTAATGGGTGCTAAGAAATAAAAAGCCAGAATACAGTATCATAGCCCATGTTTCACAGATGTTATCAGAACAGTCTACAAAATAGACTCTCTTATTGAGTTGTATGTAAGGTCACATTTGCGAAGAGGTTTTAGGGAAGAGTTAGTAACCATACAGAGGCTTTGCCCTGGAAACCAATGTTGTTCACAGCTGCTGCTGAATGAAAGGACCTTATTCATAGGATTACAGTCTTTGGACAGAGTTAGAAGCTTCTGGCTTTATAGTGGTTTTATACCAACAGGATTTTTACTATGTTTCAGTTTAGCAAAGGACTGTTAACAAAACAGTTGGTGTACTTACATAATAAATTGAGTTCATTTTACAGTTTGGAAGTCTTAACAGTGATTTACCATTTAGACTTACATTGTAAGATTTTTGGTTTGGTTTGGTATTTAAATAACAATGGGGGAAATAACTTGGAGAGGGATTCGGTCACATTTTTGGGAGTTAAAATATTTTCATAGCTAGTTTTTTTGTTTGTTTTGGGAGACTGACTCTTGCTCTGTCTCCCAGGCTGGAGTGCGGTGGCACAATCTCGGCCCATTGAAAGCTCTGCCTCCGGGTTCAAACGATTCTCCTGCCTCAGCCTCCTGAATAGCCGGGATTACAGGCGCATGCCACCACGCCTGGCTAATTTTTACATTTTTAGTAGAGACGTTTTCACCATGTTGGCCAGGCTGGTCTCAAACTCCTGACCTCAAATGATCCACCTGCTTCGGCCTCCCACATTGCTGGGATTACAGGTGTGAGCCACCACGCCTGGCCCATAGCTAGTTTTAAAATATCTTATTTGCAGCTCAAAAAATATGGACAGTAATTCAGGGAAAATGTGACAAAAGTACATTTTAGTTCATGCATTTAAAATTCACTCTGGGCCAGGTGCAGTGGCTCATGCCTGTAATCCCAGCACTCTTTGAGAGGCTGAGGCAGAAGGATTGCTTGAGCCCAGAAGTTTGAGATCAGCCTGGGCAACACAGCAAGACCTAGTCTCCATTTAAAAAAAAAAAAAAAAGCCAGGTGAGTTGCCTCATGTCTGTAATCTCAGCACTTTGGGAGGTTGAGGCAGGCAGATTGCTTGAGCCCAGGAGTTTGAGACCAGCCTGAGCAACATGGCGAGACCCTGTCTCTACAAAAAAAAACCAAAAAAATTAGCCGGGTGTGGTGGCGCACGCCTGTGTACACAGGAGGCTGTGGTGGGAGGATCACCCAGGTCTCACCTACAGTGAGCTGTGGTCTGGGTGACAGAGCAGGAGTCCGTCTCTTAAAAAAAAAAAACAAAAAACTGTAAAAGGTTTGATCTGTAGTGCTGTTTTGAATATAGTTCCATTTTGTATGCATGCATGTGTGTGAAAAGTCATTAAGTCTGGAATGAAATATAGAGTATCCGTGAAGCCATTTTAGAATTATATGTGTGTATATTTATGTGCATAGGTATATGAATACATACCTTAGGTTCCATTATTATCAGTTTTTCCTCTTATTTGTTTGTATCTACTGTATATTTCTCTGGGAAATACTCATGGTCTTTAGGTCATGTTAGCTATTGTCAAAATTTAGATATGAATCATTGATTTATATGAAAATAAATGTTTTTGATTTCTCTTTACCTGTAAGGTGGATTCTCAATATCCTCCTGTTCAGAGACTTATGACCCCAAAGCCAGTTTCCATAGCAACAAATCGAAGTGTTTATTTTAAACCATCTCTGACTCCTTCTGGTGAATTCAGGAAGACTAATCAAAGAATAGATAACAAGTGCAGTGTGAGTATATGTATATTTCTACCAGTCTTTGAATATTGATTAGAATAAGTAAGACTAAATAATGTAAAATATAACTACCATTGTATTCTAGCAACTGTATAACACATAAAGGTTGTGAATTAGTGATGATTATGAATTGGTATGCTTTTAAAATAGCTGTCACCTTGATCAAATTTTTTTTTTTTTGAGACGGAGTCTCACTCTGTCTCCAGGGGTGGAGTGCAATGGCATGGTCTCAGCTCACTGCAACCTCTGCCTCCCGGGTTCAAGTGATTCTCCTGCTTCAGCCCCCCGAGTAGCTGGGACTACAGGCATGTGCCACCTCACCCAGCTAATTTTTGTATTTTTAGTAGAGACAGGGTTTCACTATGTTGGCCAGGCTGGTCTCGAACTCCTGACCTCAAGTGACCCACCTGCCTTGGCCTCCCAAAGTGCTGGGATTACAGATGTGAGCCACCGCGCCTGGCCACTACCTTGGTCAGATCTTAAGTTAGTGTTGACTAGTAAACTCTAGCATGTACCCATTGTTTAGGTTACATAATTTTGCCGGATTTGCTTTATCTGTTTCTTTCATGTGGTGGTGTTGAACTATCTGCAAGTAAATTTCAGACATTATCTTTTGAACCCTAAGTACTTTGATATGCATCTCCTAAGTACTTTGTCCTATATTATCCCATCTAAGAAAATTAATTCTAATTCCTTAAAATTATCTAATATCCAGTCCATATTGAAACGTTTTTCATAATTGCTTTTTTGAACCAGGACTCGAGCAAGGTTCAGATACTGCTTTTGGTTTTGTTTTTCCAGACCTCAAACCCTCACCCTGGCCACATTGGTTTCTGTTTCTTGAGATAATTCACATATCATACAATTCTCCTATTTAAAGTTTTCAATTCAGTGGTTTTAGCATGTTTGGAAAACACTTTATAAATAAAGTGGTGTCTGTGAGTTGTTCAACTGTTAAGCCATCATAATGGTAAATTTTAGAACATTTGTATTACCATCTCTCCCACCCTTTGAAAATCTCATACCCATACCCGTCAGTAGCCACTTAGCATAGTGTTTTCAAGGTTCATTCACGTCGTAGTATGTATCAGTACTTCATTTTTTCCCTTTTTATGGCTGAATAATATTTCATTGTAAGGAATACTAGATTTTGTAGATATTTCATTGTATGGATATACTAGATTTTGTTTTATCCATTAATCACTTGAAGGACATTGGGGTTGGTTTTACTTTTTGGCTGTAATGAATAATGCTCCTGTCAACATTTATGTATAAGTGTTTTTTTGTGTGTTTGTGTGTGTGGACATGTTTTTATTTCTCTTGGGTTTATACCTAGAAATAGAATTGCTGGATCATAGGTTTTTGAAGAGACCAGGCCAGTTGTCTTATAAAATGTCCCATAATCTGGGTTTGTCTGGTTTTTTGTGTCATTTAACTTGTATTTATTTTGTTTACTTAACACCTTATTGTTTATGCCTTTAGTTATATTTTATCTCATTTCTAACAACTCAATTTATTGAAAACCTTGAAACTTAGAAAGATTAGTACAGTGATTTGCCATGTATTTCTTTATGTTGATTCACCAGTCATTAACATTTTGTCATATTTGCTTTATCTCCCTCCATACTTTTAAGTTAACATTAAAATTTTGAAAAATATTTTGAACATAGTGTGATCATGGTGGCTCATGCCTATAATCCCAGTGCTTTGAGAGGCTCAGGCAGAAGGATCACTTGAGTCCAGGAATTCAAGACTAGCCCAGGCACCATAGCAAGACCTTATCTCTAGAAGAAATAAAAAAATTAGCCAGATGTGGTGGTGCGTGTCTGTAATCCTAGCAAGGCAGGAGGTTGCGGTAGGAGGATCACGTGAGAGCCCAGGAGTTCGAGGCTAAAGTGAACTGTGATAGCACCACTGCACTCTGGCTTGGGTGAGAGAGTAAGACCCTGACTCAAAATATATATATATATATGTGTGTGTGTGTGTGTGTGTGTGTGTGTATTTTTTTCTTTTTAGCATAATATTGGACTTCTACAGATTTGCAAGAAAAATTTCATGAACTTCACATTTTACTACATTTGCTCTATCTTTTTCTCTGTGTTCTTATTAACAAGGAGTTCCCTTACATAATGCATAGCAGTGGTCAAACCCAGAAACTTAACATTGGCACAACACTGTAATCTACAGATTCTATTTACATGTTGTCACTTGGCCTAAAAGAAGAAATTCTAACATCATGTCTTGCATTTAGTTGTCATGTCTCTTCATCTCCTTTAGTCTAGAACAGTTCCTTTTGTTTTTTGTTCTTGTTGTTTTGTGTTTCACAATATTGATAATTTTGAAGTATAGAAGCCAGTTATTTTGTAGAATGTTCTGCAGTTTTATGATTGTCTGATGTTTCCTCATGATTAGATTTCAGTTACCTACTTTTGGCAGTGAAGACCGTTGAGGGAGTGTGCTGAGCTGTTCTCACTGTTCAGAAGGCACAGGCTACCAGTTTGTCCCATTCCTGGCAGTGTGGTTATTACATAAAGTGGTGTCTGTGAGGATTCTCTACTATAAAATTACTATTTTACCTTTCGTAATGAATAAGTATTTTGTGGGAAGGAAACTTCCCAATTATATTCTTTTCAGCCACTAGTGTTAGCATTATTGATGATTCTTGCCTGTATCTTTTTGAGCACTTAATTGGTTTTTGATATTATAAGATAATTCAGGCTCATCACATGCATTTCCTGCCCCAGCCCTGTAATCAGCCATTTTTCCAAGAAGTCTTGATTCCTTTCAGTGGAAGTATTAATTCTTTAAGTTGTAGGGAGCTATTTCGAAAGGAATAGCTTTGTATATTTGGTTGCACAATTAACAGGACAAAAAGAGGGATAAGTAAAGTAATTTTGTGGTTAGGTTAGTGAGTGTATTGTCTGTATACTACCATTTTATTAAAATAATGATTGTGCTCACTGACATTTTTCATATATATAATCTCACTGTAACTCTTGGTTACCATTCAGAAGGCAGGGTGTAATTTCAAATTTCAGGATTCATTAACTAAAAAGCCATCAAATTCCTGATTCTAAATATTAAAATTAATAGGAAGCAAGGTGGTACTAAGAAAATTACAACAAATAAGCAAACGTAAATATGTGTGTATTTCCCCTGCAGACTGGATATGAAAAAAATATGACACCCGGACAAAATAGAGAACAACGAGAAAGGTACTGTCATTTCTTATACAGCTATACTTCTTTATATTTAACTTGTAAGGTCTGTATTTAATTTACATGTACCTTTTTGAAGATTAAAATCAAAGAACAGAAACTTTATATAAAGAAATCTAAGATTTTAGAATCACGTTCAGCTGTATATTTTTTTTTTACTTGTTAGCAGTTCTAGTTAACAAGTTATGGACCACAATAATATATCAGTTGTTTTAATTTTCTTTTTATTTGCCAGTGGCTTTTCATATCCAAATTTCAGTTTGCCTGCAGCCAATGGTTTATCTTCTGGAGTAGGTGGTGGAGGTGGCAAGATGAGACGAGAAAGAACACGCTTTGTTGCTTCTAAACCTCTGGAGGAGGAGGTAGGGTTGTATACTCATATACTCTTGAGGTTTATTTAAAAAGCATTGGTGTGGTGGTGGTAAGGGGAGACCTGTAGGGGTGGGGTTCGAAGAGACCCAGAGCAAAATTAATCTGCTATTGAATCAGTTCTTTCAAAATGCATGCTGAAAACCTAATCTAGTACCTTAAATTTCATGGGTATCATAGAACAAAACAAAACTACCCATACTTTTTCAAATAAGGGAATTGCAATTGAAATTATTTGACCCTTGGTATTACTGTATAGTTTTGTCTGTTTGTAAAACATACGTAAATAAGTTCATAAATAGGATTAATACTATACGTATTCTTCTTTTTTTAAGATACAGTCTTGCTCTGTCGCTCAGGCTGGAGTGCAGTGGCGCAGTCTCGGCTCAGTGCAACCTCTGCCTCCTGGGTTCAAGCAATTCCTGTGCCTCAGCCACGCAAGTAGCTGGGACTATAGGCATTTGCCACCACACCTGGATAATTTTTGTATTTTTAGTAGAGATGGGGTTTCACCATGTTGGCCAGGCTGGGTCGAACTCCTGATGTCAAGTGATCCACCTGCCTCGGCCTTGCAAAGTGCTGGGATTACAGGCGAGAGCCACCGTGCCCTGCCTGTCTTCTTCTTGCTTGCCTGTTTCTCCTTTTTTGATGTTGTATTGTGAAAGGTAACTGTAAGTTTTTTAATTTCACTGCTTATATATTTATCCAGTTTGAAGATTTACCGTAATCCATTCTGCCATCAGGATACATTTTGGTAGATTTCTAATACACATTAAAGTGAATATGCACTTTTCTGTCTGCACACGTGCAGTATTTTCTCTAGAGTATTTATCTAGGAATGGAATTGTTGGATTATAGGGGATGATCCACATCTTCTGCTGTATTAGATGTTGCCATGTTTTCTCTTCAAGATAGTTTTGCAGTTCAACATTTCCACCATATGACAATAGATAGATCTTGGGGCATCCTTTTGTGTGTTTTTTGGACATTTGAGTTTTCTCTTGATCCATTTTTTTCCTATGGGGTTATTTCCTGTAGGGATATATATATAATTTCTTATATGTATATTAAGAAATATGTATGTATATGTATATATAATTTATTATTAGAAAGAGTTCTCTATATATTCTGACCATAAATGTTTGGAAAAGATAGGGACAGATTTAAGATTGGTTACATTAACCTTTCTGTCTATATATTGCTCTTTTTTTCTAACTACTTTAAGTTGAATGCAAGTCTCATTTTAGTTGTATTATAAATGCATTTCAGCTTAGCTTAACCATTTGAGTTTTGATACATAGTCCTTGTATTTGTCATTTGTTTCTAATTAAAATTTCACCAGTGACTCCCTCATTGACCAATGAGTTTTAGGAGTATATTTTTAGCTTTTTAAACA
Source organism: Homo sapiens (assembly GCF_000001405.40). Classification (NCBI taxonomy): domain Eukaryota; kingdom Metazoa; phylum Chordata; class Mammalia; order Primates; family Hominidae; genus Homo; species Homo sapiens. The sequence continues at coordinate 17,660,249 of NC_000006.12, read as the reverse complement.
TGCTTTTCCTATTTATATTGACAGAAACAAAATCATGTTTTGGTTGAAGTTGTTGGATGTCTTAGATTTCTTCATGCCTATTGGTATTTTGCTCTGCAGGTTTGGAGTGTGATGCCTTGCTTCCTTTTAACTATGCTTTTCCTAGCTAGCAGTACTATAGCTCACCAGAATTATGACCTCCTTGGCAGTTTTCACTTTCTGCCATATAAATTGACTTGTAATGAGCTTTGGGATTATGTTAGTAGACTTGGCTCTATTGCTGGTCTGGAGGCTCTGTCTTTCCTTTAGTCTCTGTTTCTCACTCTACTAGAGTGTTGTGAAGGGAGGGAATCTATTACTGTATATCATTATCTGAAAAGGAAATACCTTGAATGCCATTGATCATACAAACAGTATATAAATTTTATAGGTTTTGTAGCAAACCAATTTTCTTTTGTCATTAAAGCTCTTTATTAATTATATTTAAGAAACGGGTTGGCGGCTGGGCACGGTGGCTCATGCCTGTAATCCCAGCACTTTGGGAGGCCAAGGCGGGCGGATCACGAGGTCAAGAGATCGAGACCATCCTGGCCAACATGATGAAACCCCGTCTTTACTAAAAATACAAAAATTAGCTGGGTGTGATAGCGTATGTGTGTAGTCCCAGCTACTCGGGAGGCTGAGGCAGGAGAATCACTTGAACCCTGGAGGTGGAGGTTGCAGTGAGCCAAGATTGCACCAGTGTACTCCAGCCTGGCAACAGAGCGAGACTTTGTCTCAAAAACAAAACAAAACAAAAACAAAAGAAATGGGCTGTCTTACCTTGTGTAAATAAGGAATTTATTAGGTTGGTACAAAAGTAATTGGGGTTTTGGACCATGAATTTTAAATCATTATTTAACTAGGCTCAAACACATCTTTATTGAACAAAACAGGAACCACTACAATCAACACATTTTTGCCAACGAGAAATAAATTTGCTTATTCTTATAGCACAAAAATCTGTGCTTTGGGATTCGACAAGCTCTTGGAAAGCATTTTCTGCATCCCGCTGTTGCGGAAGTGTTTTCCCTGCAAAAAGTTTTCGAGATGCTTGAAGAAGTGATAGTCAGTTGGCGAGAGGTCAGGTGAATATGGCAGATGAGGCAAAACTTTGTAGCCCAATTCCTTCAACTTTTGAAGCGTTGGTTGTGCAGTGTGCCATTGGGTGTTGTTGTAGAGAAGTAGGCCCTTTCGGTTGACCAATGCCAGCTGCAGACATTGCAGTTTTTGGTGCATCTCATTGATTTGCTGAGCAGACTTCTCAGATGTAGTGGTTTCGCTGGGATTCTGAAAGCTGTAGTGGATTAGACCGGCGGCAGACCACCAGACAGTGACCATGGCCTTTTTTTGTGTGCAAGTTTGGCTTTGGAAAGTGCTTTGAAGCTACTTCTTGGTTAACCACTGAGCTGGTCGTAACCGGTTATCGTATAAAATCCACTTTTTGTCCCATGTCTCAATCTGAGAAATGGTTTGTTGTTGCATAGAATAGGAGAAGACGACACTTCAAAACAATTTTTTAAATTTTCACTCAGCTTGTGAGACACCCACTTATTGAGCTTTTTCACCTTTCCAATTTTCTTCAAATGGTGAATGACCATAGAATGGCTAACGTTGAGTTCTTTGGCAACTTCTTGTGTAGTTTAAAAGGATCAGCTTTGATGATTGCTCTCAATTGGTCCTTGTCAACTTCCAGTGACTGGTTATTGTCAACTTCCAGTGGCTGGCCATTATGCTTCTCATCTTCAAGGCTCTCGTCTCCTTTGCAAACTTTGTTTTTTGTTGTTATTGTGTGCTTCTTTGGGTGTTTTGTTTTGTTTTGTTTTGTTTTCTGTTTTGAGACAGTCTTGCTCTGTGGCCCAGGCTGGAGGGCAGTAGCATGATCTCAGCTCACTGCAGCCTCTGCCTCTTGGGTTCAAGCTATTTTTGTGCCTCAGCCTCCCGAGTAACTGTGATTACAGGCATGTGCCACAGGCCCAGCTAATTTTTTGTATTTTTAGCGAGACAGGGTTTCACCATCTTGACCAGGCTGGTCTTGAACTCCTGACAAATGATCTGCCTGCCTCAGCCTCCCAGAGTGCTGGGATTATAGGCGTGAGCCATCACGCCCAGCCTCCTTTGCAAAACTTCTTTAACCACCACTGCACTGTATGTTCATTAGCAGTTCTGGGCCAAATGTGTTGTTGATGTTGGCAAGTTGTCTTTGCTGCTTTACAACCCATTTTGAACTCGAATAAGAAAATCGCTCGAACTTGTCTTTTGTCTAACATCATTTCCACAGTCTAAAATAATATAAAATAAATAGCAAGTAGTAAGTCATCAGCTAAAAAACATAAAGCAAGAAATTTGCATTAAAATGATGTATAATGTAACCACATTTAAGAATGTATTCCAATTATCAAGTGGCAAATTGTTATAATGCAAAACTGCAATTACGTTTGCACCAACCTAATATCTGATTCATATACCATGAGCTTATTTTTTTTGACAAGTTTTTACATTTCCTGGTAAAATCTGTAGCATGTTTTGTGAAGTTTATCTCTGTATGAGGAAAATACAGGTTAGCTTTATTTGCCAGATGATGCATTGTATAGATACTGCTCATTTCCCTTACTGCCTGATGAGCACAGAAGCCAATACCATGGCACCAGGTTTTGTTTTGTTTTTTTTGAGACAGGGTCTCACTCTATTTGTTGCCCAGGCTGGAGTGCACGATCTTGGCTCATGGCACCCTCCACCTCCTGAGTTCAAGTGATTCTCATGTCTCAGCCTCCCAAGTAGCTGGGATTACAGGCATGCACCACCAAGGCTAGCTATTTTTTTTTTTTTTATTTTTTTATTTTTTTATTTTAGTAGAGACGGGGTTTTGCCATGTTGTCCAGGCTGGTCTCGAACTCCTGGCCTTAAGTGATCCCCACCCGCCTTGCTTCCCAAAGTGCTGGGATTACAGGTGTGAGTCACTGTGCCTAGCCAGAAAATAATTTTTAGTATACCGGACAAATAAGAGCAAAATATTATTAATATTAATAAACTGTTCAGTACAGCAAAGTCACACCAAACATGTATCTGCAAGACAGCCAAAACTAAGCTATAAATAATCAACCTGAGCTTCAGCCGAAGATCTCAGAACTTTTATTTTTAAAAACTGAAGCTGAAGGTGAAGCCATGCTCCAAAGAATTAAAGAAATCAGTGGCTAACAGGTATTCTTGAACTTACAAGATGGCAGATAAGAAACAGCTTGCTAAAGCCCTCTCCACTTGCAAGATAACAAAACTGACTGAAATTGGCTGGAACTAATATGACCAACTAGAGTCTGTGCAGACTGAGCTTGCTGACATCACAGCCCAAATTTCCACATTTCATTCCAGCTACTCCAGAATTTGCACATGTGGCCCATAAAGAGGCATGAAGAGACAACTGTGCACGTCGAAGGACTTTTCAGACTTCCTCTTTCCTTCCCCAGAATCTACCCCCTAAACCTTTCCTAATAAACATACTACCTTAAGGCCAATTTGCGGGGAGACAGATTTGAGCTGGACTCCTGTCTTCCTTGTTGGTTATCTAAGTAAAGCTTTCCTTTCTTCAAAAACCTGGTGCCCCCTAAGTTTGGAGGTTTGCTTGAGCCCAGGAGTTTGAGATTAGCCTGAGCAACATGGCAAAACCCCACGTGTACAAAAAAATAACAAAAATTAACCAGGCATGGTGGTTAGCGCCTGTGGTCCCAGCTACCAGGGAGGCTGAAGTGGGAGGATCACCCCAGCTGGGGAGACTCTGTCTTTAAAAAAATAACAAATAAAAAAAACTCCTCTTCACTCATGTTTGTATCACCTCCTCCCCTCTTTGGGCCTCTTCTCTTCATTCTGGCCAACTGCCAATTTTGTGTCACAGGATTCTTCACCCAGTCCTTCCCATCACTGGCTCTGTTCCACCCTGAAGTTATAATGTCCACATTTCTGAGGAAAGAGGTACTAATGTGATGTTGGCCCCACACTTTCTGCCCACCTTGTGGTTTGTTTGTTTATTTATTTGTCAGAGTCTTGCTCTGTCTCCCAGGGTGGAGTGCAGTGGCGCAATCTTGGCTCACTGCAACCTCCACCTCCTGAGTTCAAGCAATTCTCCTGCCTCAGCCTCCTGAGTAGCTGGGATTACAAGCGTACGCCACCATGCCCAGCTAAATTTTGTATTGTTAGTAGAGATGGGGTTTCACCATGTTGGCCAGGCTGGTCTCAAACTCCTGACCTCAAGAGATCCACCCACCTTGGCCTCCCAAAGGGCTGGGATTGCAGGGTTGAACCACTGCGCCCAGCCCTACCTTGTGTTTTATATCTGTATAGAATAGGTTTGGATACACAATTATATAGTTGTTTTGAATGCAGTGCTGCTTGTTTGCATCAGAAGTCAGATATGTTGAGACCACAAATTGTTTCTTTCTTCAGTTATAATTAGTGGGAATTTTTGGTAAAAAATTAAAAGATTGGCTGGTCACGGTGGCTCACACCTGTAATCCCAGTACTTTGGGAAGGCTGAGGCCGGCAGATCACCTGAGGTCAGGAGCTCGAGACCAGCCTGGCCAACATGGTGAAACCCCGTCTCTACTAAAAACACAAAAATTAGCCGGGTGTGATGGCGGGCACATGTAATCCCAGCTACTCGGGAAGCTGAGGCAGAAGAATCGCTTGAACCTGGGAGGGGGAGGTTGCAGTGAGCTGAGATCGTACCACTGCACTCCTGCCTGGGTGACAGATTGAGACTTTGTCTTAAAAAAAAAAAAAGTAATAATAAGATTAAAGTTATTTTTGTGGGGGCGGCATTTTCATGGGCCTTTGGAAGAGTGACATGGAAGAGATTTAGTTTTAATGAAATGTAAACACATTATGCTAACTGATTTCAGATAGTGTTGCTATTTAGCAGGAATGGATGTATTCTGATCCATTAAATTCAGGTTAATAGAACTCTATATGTAAAATTACCCATTTGGAATGATCTTTTACCTTTCACCTTATCCTGGATTCTAAAATGTGCAAGGATTGTAGTCATTAAATATATTGGCCTTTTGCTTTTACTGTCCTACCAATCAATCCATGAGTTTTTTTGTGTGTGTTGTTAAAAAGCTCATTGATACAAAACATGTAGCAGTATACAAAACATGTAGCAGTATATAAGAAGACTTGAGTTTGGAGAGACTTAATTGCTTGCTCTTGTCTTGTATAATCCTGCCACTTACTAGCTGGGTGACCTTGGTCAAATTAACCTCTTGTGTACCTCCTCAGTTTTTTTATCTGTAAAATGGAAATAAGAATAAATATTGTGTTCATGTCTGTAAGATTTCTGCCACTTAATAGCTGTATGGTATTATGCCATATATCTCCCTGCCTTACTTTCTTCATATGTAACAATAGTATCTACCTCATATGAGATAACCCATGTAAGGATATTACAAAGGTATTAGATAGTGAATTGTGAAATGTGTGTTCTACTTGAGATGTCTCTAAGCATCAAGTTAGCAGAATTCTTGGCTTTTTTTTCCTCTTAGATTAGTGGGACCCACTTATGATCTACTAAGTCAAAATTTGGGGGAGTAGAAATCAAATGATAGAATTGGTTCAAGGTCAGCTGGGCGCGGTGGTTCATGCCTGTAATCGCAGCACTTTCGGAGGCCGAGGTGGGCGGATCACGAGGTCAGGAATTCGAGACCAGCCTGGCCAACATGGTGAAACCCTGTCTGTACTAAAAATACAAAAATTAGCTGGGCGTAGTGGCAGGTGCCTGTAGTCCCAGATACTTGGGAGGCTGAGGCAGGAGAATCGGTTGAAACCAGAAGGCAGAGGTTGCAGTGAGCCAAGATCGCACCACTGCAGTCCGGCCCGGGCAACAAGATCGAAACTCCGTCTCAAAAAAAAAAAAAATTGGTTCAAGGTCAGTAATATAAGGAACCAGTGTGGACAAGTGTGTGCCTTAAGGAGTTGGCATGAGAGAGTAGATTATATAGTTGATGTTTTTAGGGTTCTACGCTGGAGGTTGGACAGAGAAGAGAAGCTTCCCTACAAAAATAGCCAGATGCATCTTTTGTTTGTTCCTCCTCCCTCAGTTGATTATGACAAATTTCAAACATGAAATGTTGAAAGAACTGTGCAGCGTATACACACAGTAGCAGTTAGATTCCAACATTTTGTGTTACATTTGCTTTATCAAAAAAGAAAAATTTACCTGTCCATCTTTTTTTATTTTTTGGTGCATTTTAAAGATAGTTGAAGACATTAGTACACTTCACCCCCAAATACGTCAGCATACATAGCGTGAAGTAGAGTTAAATATTTGTTGTTCTTTTTATAACATAGCAAAATTGACATATAGTGAAATGTTAAATTCTTAGGTGTGCCATTTAATAAATTTGACAAATGCTTACATCTGTGTAATGCAAGCCCTATCAAGAGATTGAATATTTCTATCATCCTAGAAATTTCAGTTGTCCTCCTTCTCAGTCAGTTGCCGTCACCTCCTACCCCAGAGGCAATCACTGTTCTCATTTTTTCCACCATGTACTGGTTTCACTTGTTCTGCAACTTCATATAGTTACTCACTATGTATCCTTTTGTCCCTGGCTATTGTGAGTAAAGCTACTAGGAACATTCTTGTTCAGGTCTTTTCGTAAATAAATTTATTTCTCTGGGGTAAATACCTGGAAGAAGAGGTGCTAAGTTGTATGTTTAACTTTCTAAGGAGCCATCATACTGTTTTCTAAAGTGTGCCATTTTATATCCCTCTTAGCAGTGTATGAACATTTTATTTAGTTTGTATCCTTACCAATAGTTGATAGTCATCTTTTAAATTTTAGTCATTCTGGTTTGTGTGTGGTGGTATCTCATTGTAATTTTAATTTGCATTTCCTTGATGACTAATAGTATTGTGTTCTTTTTTATGTGCTCATTGGCCATTTGTGTATCTTTTTTTGTGAGGTGTCTGTTCAGTTCTTTTTTTGAGATGGAGCCTCGCTCTGTCGCCCAGGCTGGAGTGCAGTAGCACGATCTTGGCTCACTGCAGCCTCCACCTCCCAAGTTCAAGCAACTCTCCCGTGTCAGCCTCCCAAGTGGCTGGGATTACAGGCGGACACTGCCATGCCCGGCTAATTTTTTATATTTCATTAGAGACAGGGTTTCACCATGTTGCCCAGGCTGGTCTCAAACTCCTGAGCTAAGGCAGTCCACCCGCCTCGGCCTACCAAATGCTAGGCTGGAGTACAATGGCGTGGTCTCAGCTCACTGCAACCTCCGCCTCGTGGGTTCAAGTGATTCTCCTACCTCAGTCTCCCTAGTAGCTGGGATTACAGGTGTGCGCCACCACGCCCAGCTAATTTTTTTTTTTGTATTTTTAGTAGAGATGGGTTTCACCATGTTGGTCAGGCTGGTCTCGAACTCCTGACCTTAGGTGATCCACCTGCCTTGGCCTCCCAGAGTGCTGGGATTACAGGCCATGAGCCACCGCACCCAGCCAGCTGTCTTCTTACTGAGTTTTAGGAGGTCTTTATAAATTTTGGACCTAGGTACTTTGTCAGATACATTTCTTAACAAATATTTTTTTCCCAGTGTTGCTTGCCTACTCATTTTCTTAATGATATCTTTTGATTGGCAGATGTTCTAAATTTTATGAAGACTGGATTTTTTTTTCTAATATTTTTATTCTTCTTTGTGTCCTAAGAAAATTTTGCCTATCCCCGGGCTACAAAGATAGTTTCCTGTGCTTGCTTCTAGAAGCATTGTAATTTTGCTTTTATAGTTTTTCTAATTTCTTTTGATTTTTGTATTTGACCCATGGATTATTTAGAAATGTATTGAATTTCCTAATATTTGGGGGGGAGGGTATTGATTTCTAATATAATTTCATTGTGATTAGAAAAAGATTGAGATTATGACTTCAGTGTTTTGAAATGTATTGAGACTTGTTTTATAGTTCACTGTATGGTCTGCTTGATAATTCTTAAAGAAAATATATTCTGTAGTTGTTGGGTATAGTGATCTGTAGAAGTAAGCTGATAGTATTAGATCTTTGTTCTTATTCATTTTTCATGGGGAGGGAGGGTATGGTTAGCCTGTTAAATTATTGAGAGATGGGGGTTAAAATTGCCAACTTTTATTTGGTGAATTTGTCTTATCCCCTTGGTTATTTATTTATTTATTTATTTTTGAGATGAGATGTCACTCTGTCACCCAGGCTGGAGTGCAGTGGCGTGGCCACCTGAGCCTCCCAAGTAGCTGGGACCACAGGCATGTGCCATCATACCTCGCCAATTTTTAAAATTATTTGTAGAGACAAGGTCTCACCGTATTGCCCAAGCTGATCTCGAGCTCCTGCGCTCAAGCGATCATCCCATCTTGGCCTCTCAAAGTGCTGAGATTACAGGTATGTGCTACCATGCCTAACCTCAATTTTTGTTTCATGGATTTTGAGGCCCTCATGAGAGCATACACTTTACATTTATTCTATGGCTCCATAGTGATTTGTCCTTTTAATATTATTAAGTGTCCTTTTAAAAAAAACTTTTGGAAATATTTTTTGTCTTGAAATCTACTTTGGTATTAATACAGCCACTCTTACTGGAATAAGCCTTCTTATGCTTAGTAGTTTCAGGGCATATCTTTTTCCATTCATATACTTTGAGCCTGTCCATGTTTATATTTAAAGTAGGTCTCAGGTAAACAACATATAACTGAGTTTTGCCTTTCTGTCCATTTTCTGTGTTTTAATTGGAACACCAAATCCATTTATAGTTAATATAATTTTTGATATGGTTGGAATGAGGGCTATCATTCATCCACTGTTTTCTGTTGTTCCTTTTGAAAGCTGCCATTTGGGGGTTAAGGGAATATTTATTATTTAATTATTTAATATTTATTATTATAATTCTGTTTTTATTGGTTTTGTTTTTGTTTTTTGAGATGGGTTCTTGCTGTCACCCAGGATGGAGTGCAGTGGCACAGTCATGGCCCACTACAGCCTCGAACTCCTGGACTCAGGCCATTCTCCCACCTCAGCCTCCCAGGTACTGGGACTACAGGCATGCCACTGCACCTGGCTAGTTTTTTGTTTGTTTAGTTTTTATAGAGACGGGGTCTTGCTGTGTTGCCCAGACTGGTCTCGAACTCTTGGCCTCAAGCTGTCCTGCCTTGGCCTCCCAAAGTGCTAGGATTACAAGTCATTTTAATTTATTTGTTAGATTTTTAACTCTCCCTCTTTTGCACTATTTAGTGGTTTCTCTTGGGATTTCTGTGTCTTCCATAATGTTTTTCAGATTACTTTATGTTACTTTCATACCACATCCTGTAAAAATAACAAGATTGCAGCTGTGTAGTTAGATTTACTACCTGTCTTCCCTGGCATTTATGCTGTACTTACTTGTATTACATCTGGAGAGGCTGTAAATTCAATGTGTACTTTTTGCTTTATATAGTTAAATATATTTTAAGGAAATTAAGAGAAAAAAGTTTTTGTTTGCTCACATATTCCTCATGTCTTTCTGAAATCTGAATTTTCATTTGGTAACATTTCCTTTCAGCATGAAGAACTTGTAGAGCAGGTTTTATAGAAGTAGATTCTTTGTTTTATCTGGAAGTGCCTTTATTTTGCTTTGGGCTTTTGGATCAATTTTATTGAGCTGTGATTTATTTGCAATAAACTGCATCCATTTGAAGTATTCAAATTATTTTAGCTGGCAATGGACTTCTCTGAACTCATTCTGTCTCCCCTGTGGTAGGCAGCAGCTGAAACTTTTTAGTTTTCTTTGGCAGCTTGGAGTCTGCCTTACAGCTGTGTAGTTTACAGGTCCACCAGAGATTCGGGTGGCTTATATGTAGACTTTGAGGTTCCCTTTCTGTGGCTCTTCATTTCTGCATCTCACCTCCTTTTCTGGCTGATTGTTCAGTTAACACGTTTGCTGTTTTCTCTCAGAACTTCAGGTATTCAGTGGCAGCAACTCATGAAGAGAACAGGAAGCTTACTCAGTGCCCTTCCCATTTTCCAAGTGTCCTCTCCCATCCAGTTTCTTCTTGCTTTTGGTTGCTCTTGTGCCTTCAGATGATTGTTTCTTTATACTTTTTTCCAGAGTTTATCATATATCTAAACGTTTATCAGGTAGAAGCTACTCTGCGTTTAGCACAAGTGGAACTCATTTTGTTTGTTCTTTATCTAGGGATCATTGGAGACTTAGGGTGCTCTTTGTTCAGTTGGGTTAAAAATCAAAGTGGCTCTCCAGACTCCTCAGTACTGACAGTTACTAAATGCTTGTTTCACATGCCAAGACCATATAATGCTCCCCCTCACCCCCTTATCTGCAAGGGATATGTTCCAAGAATCCCAGGTCATACCTGAAACTGCAGATAATATTGAACCCTGTATATACTGTGTTTTTTCTTATACATACATATCTATGATGAAATTTAATTTATAAGTAGGCACAGTCAGAGATTAACAACAACAATAAAATAGAACAATTATAACACTATAATGTAATAAAGGTTATATGAATGTAGTCTCTTTCTCTCTCAAAATATCTTATTGTATATAATATCTTTGGATCATGGTTGACCATGGGTCAGGGAAACTGGAAATTGAAACCATGGATAAGGTAGGCTACTATATATAACTTTATGTTTCATATTAGTACAACTGTAGTATATCGTAAGAATTACTATCTTTTTTCCCTCAGTTTTACCAATTAGGAAATTGGTACAGAAGGCAGTTAGGTTCCCCAAGTCAAATGGCTGGTTGGTGGCACAGCTGGGATTAAAAATCATGTTCAGTTTTTCTGATTGAAGAACCCATAATGTTAACACTACATGGTACCATCTTCTTCCTGTATACTTTCATGCTGAAAATAAGTAGAGATAAAAGAATGATGTGAAAGATGAAATATATCATGCAACATGTTATGTTTTAGGAAATGGAAGTTCCAGTATTACCGAAAATCTCTCTACCGATCACCAGTTCTTCACTGCCTACCTTTAATTTTAGTTCCCCTGAGATCACAACTTCCTCTCCATCACCCATCAATTCGTCTCAAGCATTAACAAACAAGGTACAAAACCATTATATAAATACAGGTGACATTTGTTCTTTCTTAATTCTTTATTTAAAAAAAACCCTATATTATAAACAGTGTTTAATTTTCATTATGGAAATTAATAACATAGTAAACAGAGAAATGGAAATGCTGTTTTGCTTTTTTAAAAAAATGTACAAATATCTTGGATACATTATAATGGAGTGTTCCTCAACTCTTATGCAATACCATAGAGAAGGATATTCTTGTAAATTTGTTTCCAAATAATGTTTCCAGTAAGATGCTTTTTGGGTAGGAGTGCACTCAATGTTTCATGTTTTTACTTCTCAGCTAGGCGTAACATCTTTTAATGTGCTCCTGAATTTTTTTTTTTTTGAGATGGTGTCTCGCTGTATTGCCGAGGCTAGAGAGCAGTGGTGCAATCACAGCTCATTGCAGCTTCCATCTCCTGGGCTCAAGTGATCCTCCCACCTCAGCCTCCTGAGTAGCTGGGACTACAGGTGTACACCACCACACCCAGCTAATTAAAAAAATTTTTTTTTAAATATTTATTTATTTTTTCAGCTTGAGTCTCGCCCTGTCACCCAGGCTGGAGTGCAGTGGCACGATCTTGGCTCACTGCAACCTCCACCTCCCGGGTTCAAGTGGTTATCCTGCCTCAGCCTCCTGAGTAGCTGGGATTACAGGTGCGCACCACCATGCCCGGCTAATTTTTGTATTTTTAGTAGAGACAGGGTTTCACCATGTTGGTTAGGCTGATCTTGAACTCCTGACTTCAGGTGATCCGCCTGCCTTGGCCTCCCAAAGTGCTAGGATTACAAGCGTGAGCCCCCACTCCTGGCCAAAAAATATTTTTATGGGTGAGGTCTTGCTGTGTTACCCAGGCTGGTCTTGAAATCTTGCGTTCAAGCAATTCCCTCTGTCATGGCTTCCCAAAGTGCTGGGATCACAGGTGTGAGGCACTGTACCTGGCCTGCTCCTGAAATTTTAATACTTGCTTTCTTGCTTTCACTTCTTCTGAACATATTCTTATAGATGTTACTTTACTTTTTTATACAAATATCCACCTCTAAGATTGTGTGTACTCCTTAGAGGAAGCCACATTTTATAACACAGTTCTGTGTTTTTCAGAATTTAAAGTGAGATTTTTAAATTTAAAAGGAAAAAATACTTAGTGTCTTTGGAATAATCAGTTTGCTTAATGTCTTTTTTGTCACTTTATTTTTCTAAAAAGCTCTTTTTGTATCATTTCTTAATAATTTGGAAAACCAGGTACAAATGACCTCTCCGAGCAGCACTGGCAGTCCCATGTTTAAATTTTCATCTCCAATCGTAAAATCTACTGAGGCAAATGTACTACCTCCATCATCTGTAAGTAACAAGCAAGGAATAGTATATATTTACTGATTTCAAAGCCATGTTATATTTTTATCAAATCTAAGATGCCACTGGTGGTGAGAAACACTGTTATTTTTCTTCCAACTTAAAAAATACTCTGTGTAAAAAACTTTTGAACAATCATGTATTCTTCACTACATAATGTACATATGTATGCATATTCATTTTCTTCTGTACCATTTGAAAGTTAAAATGCAAACAACTGGATTTCCTTAATTCTTCTCCATGTGTCCCTTAAGAAAAAAGACATTCCTTTGCATCCCCACAATACAGCTATCATACCCAAGAAATTTGACATGATATAATAACGACATGGTCCATATTCAGATTTCCCCATTATCCCCAGACTGTCCTTTAATTGCTGTTTTATTTCTGTTGGTCCTAGAGCCAATTAAAGACTAGGACCTAATCAACTACATGATATTGCATTTAGTTAAAACATGTGTCTTGATTTACCTTTAATCTAGAAAAGTTCTGGGCATTTTTTTCTTTCATGATTGAAAAGTGAATGTTTGGGGTAAGAATAACACGTAGTTTAATATTCAAATTGCCCCAGATTTGGCATGTTTATATTATTTTAATATGTCATTTTCTAGTTTTGACTGTGTCCTTGTCTTCTGACACAAGTAGATGTTACAGATCAAATGTAATTTCCTTGCCACATGCTGAAATCCATCAGTTGCCCCAGAAGTGTCATACTTTTTATTAGAAAATGGCATTTGAGGCCGGGCACGGTGGCTCATGCCTGTAATCCCAGCACTTTGGGAGGCCGAGGCAGGTGGATCACTTGAGGTCAAGAGTTCGAGACCAGCCTGACCAACATAGTGGAACCTCGTCTCTACTAAAAAAAAAAAAAAAAAAGAAAATACAGAATTAGCCAGGCATGGTGGTGCACGCCTATAATCCCAACTACTCAGGAGGCTGAGACAGGAGAATTGTTTGAACCTGGGAGGTAGAGGTTGCAGTGAGCCGAGATTGTGCCGTTGCACTCCAGCTCAGGCAACAAGAGTGAAACTCCACCTCAAAACAAAAAAAAAAGGAAAGAAAATGGCATTCAGAAATTGGAACTGGGCATTAGGAACACACCATCATTATTTTATATACTGTTTTGAAAGAAAAAGTGCCTGAGAAATTTAAAATGCTGCCTGTTAAACTGTGACATTGCCATTCAATATAAGAATCTCACTTTTAGAGATAGTGAAATATTATAAACTATATCTTAAAATAGGTGAAAGTATGTTTTTGACTTGGGATAAAAATAACCTCTATATTTGGGCCAGGCGCGGTGGCTCACGCCTGTAATCCCAGCACTTTGGGAGGCCGAGGCGGGCGGATCACAAGGTCAGTAGATCGAGACCATCCTGGCTAACACAGTGAAACCCCATCTCTACTAAAATACAAAAAATTAGCCGGGTGTGGTGGCGAGTTCCTGTAGTCCCAGCTGCTCGGGAGGCCGAGGCAGGAGAATGGCGTGAACCCGGGAGGCGGAGGTTGCAGTGAGCCAGGATTGCGCCACTGCACTCCAGCCTGGGCGACAGAGTAAGACTCCGTCTCGGGGGAATAAAAAAGCTCTATATTTGATACTTATTGAAAACGAAGTATAAGGATATTCTTTCTCTTTACAGATTGGATTTACATTTAGTGTGCCTGTTGCAAAAACAGCAGAACTTTCTGGTTCTAGTAGTACTTTAGAACCAATTATAAGTAGTTCAGGTAAGTAAAAATTTCTTACATTTTAACATACAAACAATTGCATACAGTAGATTAGTATTTCAGCTTCTTTCACCTTTGGTAATTCTTATAAATGCCTTCATTTGGATGAAATTAGCTCTGAAAAGCAAGCAGGCACTATTATTTAACCTTTTTGACGGTGCTTTTTATTAATTATCTTTAGAGATACTTAGCTCCTTAAATGGAAGTGTCAGTTTGGTTTTGAGAGAGATAGGCATGGTAGCAAATTTATCCACTATCTTTGTTTAGTCAAAACAAGGTGACAAGTTAGTTATAAAGCAAGTCTCATTATAAGAAATTTATAGGTTGTCTACATTATAGTTGTAGTAGATTTTATTTCTAGTTTTTACCTTTCAGTTCACAAGCATTTTTATGTATAAAGGTTATGCAGGCCCATGTAGATTGTGATACATAATTTCTGAACCGAAGAAATCAGCATCATTGAAGGAAGGAGGCCATGGGTCATTCCTGTAAACCCAGCAGTTTGGGAGGCTGTGGTGGGAGGATTGCTTGAGGCCAGAAGCTCAAGACGATCCTAGGCAGCACAGTGAGACTCATCCCTACCGAAAAAAAAAAAAAAAGAAAAAGAAATAACCAGGTGGTGGTGTGAGCCTGTAGTCCCAGCTACCTGGGATGCTGAAGTGGGAGGATTGCTTGAGCCCAGGAATTCAAGGCTACAGTGAGCTATGATTGCACTACCACACTACAGCTGGCTGACAGAGCAAGACCCTATCTCAAAAAAAAAGAAAGAAATGAATGAATAATCAGAGAATTAAAACATAGAATTCTTTTTTTTTTTTTTTTTTGAGACAGAGTCTCGCTCTGTTGCCCAGGCTGGAGTGCAATGGCACGGTCTTGGCTCACTGCAACCTCTGCCTCCCGAATTCAAACGATTTCTCCTGCCAGTAGCTTGGATTACAGGTGCCTGCCACCCTGCTGGCTACTTTTTTTTTCTTTTAATTGTGAGACGGAGCCTTGTTGTGTCCCCCAGGTTGGAGTACAGTGGCGTAATCTTGGCTCACTGCAACCTCCGCCTCCCAGGTTCATGCCATTCTCCTCCTCAACCTCCCGAGTAGCTGGCACCACAGGCGCCTGCCACCACGCCTGGCTAATTTTTTTGTATTTTTAATAGAGACAGGGTTTCAACATGTTAGCTCGGATGGTCTCGATCTCCTAACCTCGTGATCTGCCTGCCTCGGCCTCCCAAAGTGCTGGGATTACAGGCGTGAACCACCGCGCCCTGCCCCTGGCTAATTTTTTGTATTTTTAGTAGAGAGGTGTTTCACCACGTTTGGCCAGGCTGGTCAGGAACTCCTGTCCTCAGGTGATCTGCCCACCTTGGCCTCCCAAAGTATTGGGATTACAGACGTGAGCCACTGTGCCTGGCCGAATTTGTTTTTTTATAATGGTGGTTTTCTTTTAAGTGTTTGGGAAAATCAGAAACACCTGAGCTGAGTTACTCAGGTCAAGAATTTTGAGCAAGGGCATTTTACCCAAGAAATATAAACACAAAGCTCAAGGGCACAGGAACAAGAGAAAAAGCATGACACGCTTTAGAATTGCAAACAATTTGTCATGAGGTTGGAGAGGTAGCTTTAAATCCTAAAAGTTCTGGAATGCTATGCTAATGAATTGGATTTTATTCTGACTGCATTAGGGAGATGTTGAATGATTTTTACTTGGGGGTGAGATGGATGTGAGTATAGTGATAGCAGTGTGGTGAGTGCTAGTGTGGGTTGGAGTGGCATGTTAGAGGCAGAAACATGAGTTGGGAGATATTACCTTATCGAAAAGCGTTTCTTCAATGATCTTCTGAGTTTGGGAATTTTTAAAAACTAGATCCTCAAAAGATAGATTAAAAAATAAAAAGAGTCAGGACATAGAAGCTAAAGAAATATCTTTGGCTTTGAATGGTCTTGAAGATAAGAGGCCAGATTATGGAAGTGGCCCAAACTAAGAATTTGACTGGTATGTTTGCAACCTTATCTTTTTTTTTTAATTGGCTAACACAGCCTTACGTAATAGAAATTAATAAGGAATTTCCATTGTGTTTCCTGTCACAAAAGTTTTTTTTCTTTAATGTTAACTATTAATTCAAGAGGATTAAATTTCTTCAAATTACCAATTTCATGACTTATTATGAGGAAAGGCATTAAAATGTTTCCCACTATTTGCTAATGCTTTACTAATGATAACTGAATAATTAACAATTTGTTACAACAACTTTGTTTCATTATATCTCAGGAAGTTACCCAGATTTTTAAGGAGTCGATTATGAGTGGCCTATTTAGAGTTGTGTGTTCTCACTTTGACACCGTTGGTTCTCACCACTTCTATCATTTAAAAAAGCTAATTGAAAATGTGGAAGTCATGATTACTTTGTGACAGGAGCTAAGTTTTCCATTGTCTCCTTTTCCCCTCTTTTTGAGCATACTTTAGGGAATCCTAACATTTTACCGTAAATTACTAAAAGCAATTTAACTTTCATTATAAAGGAAGATAGAACGTGATTAAATTATAAGTTTGTTTTGGCATAGTTGTACGAGTGGTGGTTATTTTTGGTGGGGATGGTTGGGGGTGGGTGTTGCACATTCTGTCACCCAGGCTGGAGTGCAGTTGCACAATCTCAGCTCACCGCAACCTCCGTCTCCTGGGTTCAGGCGATTCTTGTGCCTCAGCCTCCCGAGTAGCTGTGATTACAGGCACCTGCCACCATGCCTGG
The DNA here is from genome assembly GCF_000001405.40 of Homo sapiens. Taxonomy (NCBI): domain Eukaryota; kingdom Metazoa; phylum Chordata; class Mammalia; order Primates; family Hominidae; genus Homo; species Homo sapiens. Next base: position 17,643,326 of record NC_000006.12, on the reverse strand, counting down.
CTAATTTTTGTATTTTTAGTAGAGAAGGGGTTTCGTCATGTTGCCAGGCTGGTCTTGAACTCCTGACCTCAGGTGATCTGGCCGCCTAGGCGTCTCAGAGTGCTGGGATTACAGGTGTGAGCCACCGCGTCCAGCCTATATTTTTGTTATTGTGATGAAGTTGACATGATACAGCCATTTTAAAGGGAATAATTCAGTGGCCTTTAGTACCTTGACAGCGTTGTGCAGCCACCACTTTTTATCTAGTTCCAAAACATTTATCACCCTCACCAGGAAACCCCTGTCCATTAAAAAGTTGCTCCCCATTCTGCCTTCCCCCTAGCTAACTGTCAACTTGTGTTCTGTCTCTATGGATTGACTTATTCTGAATATGTCATGTAAGTAGAATCATACAATGTGGCTTCGTACAGCTGAGTTCTTTCACTTAGCACAGTGGTTTCAAGGTTCTTATGTCTCAATACTTCATTCCTTTTATGGCTGAATAATATTCCATTGTATTGATGTGCCACAGTTTATTTTTGTTCATCCATTAATGGACATTTGGGCTGTTTCCACCATTTGGCTATTGTGAATAGTGCTGCTGTGAACATATGTGTATGTGTATTTGTTTGAGTACTGGTTTCAATGCTTTTTCATATGTGCCTAGGAATGGAATTGATGGGTCAGATGGTAGTTCTGTATTAAACTTTTTGAAGAATCACTAAACTGTTTTCCACAGTAGTTGAACCATGTCACATTACCATTAGCAGTATACAACTTCACCAACACTTAGTATTTTCTCTTTTTTGACTATAGCAATCCTAGTGGATGTAAAGTAATACTTTGTTGTAGTTTTGATTTGCATTTCCCTAATGCAAATGATGTTGCATTTTTTTCAGGTGCTTATTGTCCATTTAAATATCTTAGGGAGGAATGCCTTTCACGTCCTTTACCCATTGAACAGTTTGTCTTTTTGTTACTGAGTTATAAGAGTTCTTAGTCTGGACACTAGACCCTTACCAGATACGTGATTTGCAGATATTTTTTCCCATTTATAGATTGTCTTTTCACTTTCTTGATAATTTCCTTGAATGGACAGAGGTATTTAATTTTGATGAAGTCCATTTTTTTCTTCTGTTGCTGTGCTTTTCGTGTCATATCTAAGAATACATTGCCAAATCCATGGTCTTGAAGCTATACTCCCTAGGTTTTCTTCTAAGAGTTTTATGGTGTTTATGTCATATTTAGGATATTGATCCATTTTGAATTTTTGTTTATTGTGTGAGGTAGGGAAAGGTTTTTTTCAAAAGTACTTTACCTACTACTTTTTAAATTGGCAAACACTTAAAAAGAAAAACTTGGTTATTAGTATATTTCATTATGGAAAACTTGATTCTCAGAAGTAGAATTGTAGACTGAATCCCCATATACTATTTAGCCAGCTTCAACTTTTACCATTTTGACCCATCTTGTTTCTTTTTCTTTCTTCTTTTTTTCTGAGACAGTCTCGCTCTGTCTCCCAACCTGGAGTGCAGTTGTGCAAGCTCGTTTCACTGCAAGCTCCACCTCTCAGGTTCACTCCATTTTGCCTCAGCCTCCTGAGCAGCTGGGACTACAGGCGCCTGCCACCACGCCCGGCTAATTTGTTTTGTATTTTTAGTAGAAACGGGGTTTCACCATGTTAGCCTGGGTGGTCTCGATCTCCTGACCTCGTGATCTGCCTGCCTCAGCCTCCCAGAATGCTGGGATTACAGGCGTGAGCCACCGCTGCCTGGCCTTTTTGTTTGTTTGTTTGTTTGTTTTGTTTTGTTTTTGAGACGGAGTCTCGCTCTGTCACCAGGCTGGAGTACAGTGGCACGATCTTGGCTCACTGCAACCTCCGCCTCCCAGGTTCAAGCAATTCTCCTGCCTCAGCCTCCTGAGTAGCTGAGACTACAGGTGTGTACCACCACACCCAGCTACTTTTTGTATTTTTAGTGGAGATGGGGTTTCACTATGTTGGCCGGGATGGTCTCCATCTCTTGACCTCGTGATCTGCCCGCCTTGGCCTCCCAAAGTCCTTGGGATTACAGGCACGGGCCCCCGTGCCTGGCCGCATCTTGTTTCTTATTGTTTCTTTTGTTCCATCCCTCCTCTCCCCATCCCACACAGAAACTTACATGTCAGGTCACTCTTCAACAATCCCAAACATCTTAGTTTTATCTGTAAATAGAAATCGCCCCTTAAAAATATAACGATAAAACCATTATCACACTGAAAATGTAGATCTCTAAATACAAGGATGCAAGTTTAGAAAGCATAAAAAGTAAAAGCAGTAAGTCACTCATCTTACTGCTAGCAGCTACCATTACTCTTTAGATGTAAACATTCTAGACTTTTCAACCTGCTTTTACCCATAACTACACTTTTAAGAATGATTTTTGTGGGCCAGGCATGATGACTCATGCCAGTAATGCCAGTGCTTTGGGAGGCCGATGTGGGAGGATCACCTGAGGCCAGGAGTTTAAGACCAGTCTGGCCAGCCATAGTGAGACCCCATGTCTACAAAAAAGTAAAAAAAAAAATGAGCTAGATGTGGTGGCATGCGCCTGTGTTCCTGGCTACTTGAGAGGCTAAGGTGGGAGGATTGCTTAAGCCCAGGAGTTTGAGGATGCATTAAGCTATGATTGCACCACTGTACTCCGGCCTTGCTGACAACAAGACACTCACTCTCTGTTTTGAAAAAGAATGATTTCTGTGGCTGCATAAGTATTTCATCATGTCACTGTTATGTAATTTATGTAACCATATACCCTTATTTAATATTTTACCATATAGGTTTTCAATATTATAACTGAAGGATATTTTCAATTATATTAATAGTGTGAATTTCTAAAAATGAAATAATTGCTCAGTTGAAAATTACTTTTTTTGATTAGTTTTGTAAATTGTTGTGTAATCAGATATTTCATGCAGTGGATGGGCTTGCCCTAGTTGCCATATCCTCTCCAGTTTTTTAGTTTGATTGTTTTGATTATCAGTCAGTTAATTGGACGATAATTATAGTTTATATTTTTTTGCCTTTTTATTGGTGGGGGAAGTTATATAGTATGGGAATAGTGTTTTTATCTCCTTGTAATGGCAAATTATCCCTGTAAAGTCATTTGTTTATTGAATTAAAGTGACTTTTTTCATGAACTTTTAGAAATTAATCCAAAAGATGGTTTTGAAAGATTTTTAAAAATGCATTTGAGAGTCCAGTGTTTTATTTGGCATAATGTTATTAAATTTAAAAAAATTACAGCTCATCATGTCACTACAGTGAACAGTACAAATTGTAAGAAGACACCACCTGAAGATTGTGAGGGTCCTTTTAGACCTGCAGAAATCCTGAAAGAAGGAAGTGTTCTAGATATTCTGAAAAGCCCTGGTAAGATAATTAAAAGATAAGCCTTTTGATTACAAACTCATGATCTCAATTTAATGTCATTTTGTATTATACTTTAGGCTTTTAAAAATTTCTGACTAGTTTGGTAGGAGATTTACTTTTGAATAGAGATGTAGTTAGGTGTAATTCTTTTGCTGGAAATATCTTACAAGCCAAAGGACTCTATACTAAAATGAAATTTCTAATAGGCAAGTGTAGGAGGAGGAAATGGATTCTCCATTAATAGAGGTAGGTCAGTGAGGAATAAGAGTAAGTAAACCTGATGATACACATAGACATGTCTTTCTCTTATGAGAGCACTGAACTGCCTTCTTGAATTATTCCCCAGTTTGGTAAATATGGAACAAGGCCAAGTGGAAAGCATCTGCTGAATTGTAACATATACATAGGGAGCAGTACTCACTTGAATTGAAGCAAGATTTGAAAGCTAGTAGGTAATAATTAGAAAGGGGATAAATAGTTCTCAGATAAGAATAATTTTTTGTTTGAAAACAGGATGTTCATAATTCCATTTATGATACATAGTATAAGAATGTAAAACTTGCCAGGCGCGGTGGCTCACCCTTGTAATCCCAGCACTTTGGGAGGCCAAGACGGGCAGATCACTTGAGGCCAGGAGTTGAAGACCAGCCTGGCCAACATGGCGAAACCCCATCTCTATTAAAAAGAGAAAAAATTAGCTGGGCGTCCTGGCATGCACCTGTAGTTCCAGCTACTCGGGAGGCTGAGGCAGGAGAATTGCTTGAACCTGGGAGGTGGAGGTTGCAGTGAACCGAGATCGAACCACTGCACTCCAGCCTGGGCGACAGAGCAAGACTCTGTCTTTAAAAAAAAAAGAAAGGAAAAGAAAAAAAGAATAAAAGAATGTAAAACTGTGAGATAATCTAATAGCTCAGAAAGAATTTAAACGTACCCACCAGATGTGTCCATGTGTAATAAGATAGGTTTTCTTAAAAAATAAGGTTGGCTTTTACAACAGGATTTAGGAGGATTCAATTTTTCTGGTCCAGCTCTCTCATTTTATAGATAAGTATACTGCCTACAGGAGTCCAGTAGCTTGGACAGTTCCATGCAGTTATGGTAGAACTCCAGAGTGCTTGTGCTGGAATTAACCAAGTAGTAGGCAAGCCTCAAATGTGTATAGTCTGTCTTGTGTATCTGGGGTTACACTTTGCATTCATGATGCCAACCTCCCCCTGCTCCCTTTTTACTTCTTAAATAGGAAATGTTTGGGGAGAATCTTCATTTGACTGAAATTAGGAAAATCTGAAAAAGTAGAAGAAAAAGAAATCTGTAATGCCTTGAGATGGTTACTGTTAATATCTTGCCAATCTTAGTGATTTAAATTAATCATAAGCAAAATAACACGTTGCCCACTGGGAATAACTCAAGCATGTGGTATTTTGTCCTTAAGCTAAAAATAGCTCTAGGCTGGATTATTTTGTGGAACTAGAAAACCTCTAATAACCTTCTACATCTTCTCTCCTTTTAATTTCTTTTTCTTTGGCGGGTAAGGCTGGAGAAACAGATCACAGATGGTGGTGTTGTGTGTAAGACAAAAGTTAACTGGTCCTAAGTAAACAATTACAAAAGTCATTCTCATGAGTAAAATACAGCTTGAGTGAATGAACTCAATGACAGCAGTTTTGGTAACAGAAGGACTTGCTCAGCTGATTTTACTGAAGGTAGAGAATACCACAGCAGTAGGTTATGACTGGACAAAATTCAAAGATGACATTGAAGCCATTTGGTGTAGCCAATGGAACACTTAAAAGAAGAAATGGATGAAGGAGAAAGAGGACTGCGAGTATTGTGTGTTTGTAGAGAGACAGAATATAGCAAAATGTGGATGGCAATAATACATATCAGTAAATTAGTACCATTGAAAGCATCAAACTAGAAATTCCTTGAAGGAGAAGGTGATATCCTGTAAACAAAACATCTTTTGTAGAATTTTAAATGGTTTAAGTGTAACTTATTAGGTAATTGATAAATATGATTACTTAAGTGAAAAACAATTCTTAAGTAGTTCATCTTGGATTGTAGTAAGTGTGCAGTGAGGTAAACGTCTTCTCAGTAATAATAATCAAATTAATGCTTTGATTTATAAAGCTTCTCTAACGTTGCACTCTCTCCTTCGTTCATTGTAGGTTTCGCATCGCCGAAGATAGATTCTGTTGCTGCTCAGCCCACCGCAACAAGCCCAGTAGTTTATACAAGACCAGCAATAAGTAGCTTTTCTTCTAGTGGAATTGGGTTTGGGGAGAGTTTAAAAGCTGGGTCATCATGGCAGTGTGATACATGTCTACTCCAGAACAAAGTTACAGACAACAAATGCATAGCCTGTCAAGCAGCAAAATTGTCACCCAGAGATACTGCTAAACAGACTGGAATTGAAACACCAAATAAAAGTGGCAAAACAACTCTTTCTGCATCAGGGACAGGCTTTGGAGACAAATTTAAACCAGTGATAGGCACTTGGGATTGTGATACCTGTTTAGTGCAAAATAAACCTGAAGCAATAAAATGTGTAGCCTGTGAAACACCGAAACCTGGAACTTGTGTGAAGCGAGCCCTTACATTGACAGTGGTTTCGGAAAGTGCTGAGACTATGACTGCTTCATCTTCCAGCTGCACTGTAACCACTGGTACCTTAGGATTTGGAGATAAATTCAAAAGGCCCATTGGATCTTGGGAGTGTTCAGTATGCTGTGTTTCTAATAATGCAGAAGACAATAAGTGTGTGTCCTGTATGTCTGAGAAACCAGGTATGTTTTTGGCTTTATGGAGTAATTTTGCTTATTACTTCTGTTGAACAGTTTAATTTATTCTAAGAATCCTTGTTTTAGATGTTTCAGGATGAGCATTTCTCATACATATTAATTTTTCTAAACTATCTTGAGGTAAAAATGTCTTGTTTGCAGCTAGATCTTTATGTTCAGTTAGGATAGGTTATGTGTTAACTAGTCTGGTATATATGACGACCTCCTCTTTTTGTACAGTTTTATCAGAAATTTCTTGTTCAAAGTTGACTAATACAGATTCTGAAAGATCTTAGAATGGGGTAATATTTCTCAAACCTTTGTACAGAGTAAAATATTACTTCTCCAAATAGAAATCAGGATAGCTAGTGGTCATTTACAGGGAAGGTTTCTTTAGGGGGTAGACTATAGTCGTTAATGAAAAGGCTGTAGCTGTTGCAATGATTGTAAATTACCAAATCACTAATTCTAATCTAGGCAGCCAGAAACATGGAGTTAGTTTTGAGTTTTTTCTGTTTCTCTGTTCAAAGTTGGAAGAATTAGTGAAGATTCATATTGAATCTTTAACTCATCCAGAAGTGGATGATGGTTTTGTAATATTATATAATTATATGGTACAGATGTATGATAACATGGATATCCTGGGAATTACACTGTTTTCAATGCATTATTCATGAATATGCAGTTTTGTGTCTGTAATGTACAGCTCTGAGTTACTAACCTAGACCTTTTGCCTGAGCCCTCATGCCATATTTCTGATTCCTACTGGATATTTCCCTATGAGTAAGATTTTAGAATCTTCATTCCTTTTTTTTTTTTTTTTTGAGACAGAGTCTCACTGTGTCACCCAGGCTGGAGTGCAGTGGCACAATCTTGGCTCACTGAGACCTCCATCTCCCAGATGCATGCAATTCTTGTGCCTCAGCCTCTCAAGTAGCTGGAATTACAGGTGCATGCCACCACACCCAACTAATTTTTTGTATTTTTAGTAGAGACAGGGTTTCGCCATGTTGGCCAGGCTGGTCTTGGACTCCTGACATCAAGTGATCTATCCGCCTTGGCCTTCCAAAGTGCTGGGATTACAGGCGTGAGCCACCATGCCCGGCCTAGAATCTTCATTATGAAATATTTTTGTCTTCCCATCTGGTTCCCCTGCTCACCTACAAAAAGAAAGCCCTTGATGTATGCAGGAAAGCAAAATTAATTTTAAGTTGAAGGGGAATAACAAAACTTTGAGTCAGGAAGTAATTTGTTACACATGAACAAAGGAAGCTCACATATGTATTAAAGAACTTGGATGTCCTCCTTTCAATGATGAACCATCATTTTCAGCAGAGGAGTGATACAGTCAAGTTTGTATTTTTGATGAGTCACTGGCTTTTTAGATAATGGATTTGAAAA